>NC_000012.12:116399521-116551037 GCF_000001405.40 Homo sapiens | reverse complement strand
TTTGAGGCCAGCCTCCATCAGTTTGCTAAGAAAGGGGCATACCAATATCCACTCCATAGAAGAGATGAACAATTATACAAGAGAATAATGTATAGAATGCCTAGAATGCCTCAAGACTCCCCCCAGAGGAAAAATAAAACAAAACAAAACAAAAACAAAAGTAATTGCATAAATCCATCCATTTTTGCCATTATTAAAAAAAATCCCACACGTTAGTAACTCAGGCAGCAAAAACAAAGGAAACGGCTCCACTTTGCATTTACCTGGTTCCAGTCTTTCTGGGAGACTAAAAGATGTAGAGGCTTCTCTCATTTATCCTAGAACATGGCTATGAAGTAGTAAAGGTGGATCATGACAGATGAGGCAGCAAAGAAGCCGAGAGGTCACGCCACCTCCCAAGGTCATGCAGCTAGATGGAGAAAGAGGCGAGGGTGGAAAACGGGCTTCATGTCTCTTGGTCCACTGCAAAACACATGATAGCCAGACCAGGGAGGAATCGCTTTTCTCCATAATTGGAAATACCACCGAGAGCTAATTTCTCCCCAGTAGATCCACAGGGCAGAGAAGAGCACTTGACCTAGAGTCTTGTTAGGAGGGTGGTCTGTCATGCAGACTGCGAAACAATCAACCAGCCATCATATTTCCATTTCTCTTGGGCCGTTTCTGTCTGGAGAGAGAGAGAGAGAGCCCCAGTCAAAGCTGGGAGAGCCAGCGTGCAACGCATCCACTCAGGGCTGTTAATAATTGGGTTTTACGGATGCCCAGATTCACAGGCTATAGCTTAGTGCCTCTCCATCGATTTAACTATCATTTCAGGTCCATAGCTCACAGCTAGAAACCAACCTACATAAAACCCCACATTAGGACGCTTCCCTTCTTGTTTAGGACACTGCTTTCCATTAGGAAAACCAAACTACTTAGCGGAGAGCTTGATGGATGAGGCTGA
The DNA here is from genome assembly GCF_000001405.40 of Homo sapiens. NCBI lineage: Eukaryota > Metazoa > Chordata > Mammalia > Primates > Hominidae > Homo > Homo sapiens. The sequence continues at coordinate 116,550,091 of NC_000012.12, read as the reverse complement.
CGTTATAATCTCACTGAACAATTACAGGGCTGTCCTATTAGCGGGAGACACCCCAGTACACACATAAGATTTGGTAGACGAGATCTGTTGAACATTGAGGGGAGCCGGGAAGACAGAGTGCAGGTGGGCAAGCTGTGAATGAGCCAACTCTATCCTCAGAAGTCCCTAGAGGATTGTGTGTCAGAGACCTCTTCCTGATTTAATTTCAGAGTCCAAACAATGAAAATTAGTGACTGAAAAAGTATTTATTGAGTGCCTACTACATCTGTCTAGATCCTGGCTTAGCCAGTGGAGAAATTTACAAGGGGTGTAAATGACAATCCCTGCCCTCGTGGAACTTTCAATCTATTTAAGAAGGTAAATAAATGGATACGGATGATAGATTATACATAGAGGATAGAGAATAGATAGATAGGTAGGCATGCAGGTAGGAAGATAGGTAGATTAGAGGATTAGAGAGAGAGAGAGAAATAACCAATTGTCATAGCAGGTGGTGCTCATTTCCAACTAAATGATACCAAAATTAAACATGATAGAGCAGATTTAGCAGATAGGTGGCCCTTTCCCTTCCCTCACCAATGCTGGATATCCCTAATTATTTATGGCATCCATTATGGGTCGAATTGTGTCTTCCCCACTACCCCCACCCCCTGTCCCATCAAAAGATAAGTTAAAATCCTAACCCCTGGTACCTATGAATGTGGTTTTTCCAATGTAATCAAGTGAAGATGAGGTCATGAGGATGGACCTTAATCCAATGGCTGGTGTCCTTATAAGGAGAGGGAGATGTTTTAAATTTTATTATTATTTTTATATTATTGAGACAGAGTTTTGTGGCCCAGGCTGGAGTGCAGTGGAGCAATCTTGGCTCACTGCAACCTCTGCCCCATGGGTTCAAGCGATTCTCCTGCCTCAGTCTCCCAAGTAGCTGGGATTATAGGCACTCGCCACCCCACCCAGCTAATTTTTTGTATTTTTAGTACAGATGGGGTTTCACCATGTTGGCCAGGCTGGTCTCGAACTCCTGACCTCAAGTGATCTGCCTGCCTTGCTCTCCCAGAGTGCTGGGATTACAGGCATGAGCCACCGTGCCCAGCTGGAGAGGGAGATTTGAATACAGACACACACACAGAGGATAAGGCCATGTGAGGACACAGACACAGAGGGAAGACAGCTGTGTAAAGATGGAACCAGAGGTTGGAGTGATGCAGACACAAACCAAGGAACTCGAGATAAAACATATTTTCTAGCCTTGGTCTAAGTTCAGAAGGTGGTCAAGTGAGGCTTCCTGGTAAGATGGGCTGAGCTAGACGTTGAAAGGTAGATTGGATTCTGATGGGGGAGCATGGGTACCCAGTAAGGCAGTATTTTGAGACAGGTCAATTGTTATCCATTTCCGTCTTCCGTCCAGGGACCTCTTAGCTGATCTAGCAGCACCAGTTCATGGACATTGGTGAGGTCACCTAAGGGCAGGTGTGTAGACATCTGCTTTGTAGACACGCAACAGAGCACACACATGGAGCGCGCGCACACACACACGCATACACACAGAGTATATCTATTCTAGGCATGCTCATTAGCAACTAACTTTAATCATCCTTAGTGCTTGCATCTCAAATACCAAATACTTTGGTGTGTGCTGTCTATGAACACACACCAAAAATAGTTCTGGGTAGATGAATGCCTGAGCCAAGAGGCTGGCTGATTGCAATTTGAGTCGAGTGAGTGAAGTCACTGCCTCCCGGATCCCTTCAGTGCCGCCAAGGCAGGAATCTTAACACAGGATATCAATAACTAACTAACCTGAACCGCCCCCCAACCAGCCACATGCAGCTGACCGCTCTGGGTGGGAGAACGGATGCTCTGTCTCCAGTCCTTGGACAGGATGTGTCTGCCTGAGAGTCAGACGCTGTGGCTGAAATCTGCTGCTTAGCTCAGAGACAAGGTCAGACCACCAGGGATGCGGCAGTTCTTGCAGTTAGGTATTCTGTGGTTGTAAATCAAAGAGTGGCGTGAGTGTCAGTGAAAAGGAGAAGTTGACAGGCCCCTTTGCCATCTGCCTGTCTTTCCTTCCTCATTCCCAGGTACCTGATGCTGGCTGCTGACTCGATATATTCAGCATGACAAGGAGAAAAGGAAAAAAAAAAAAAAGAAAGAATTACAGGAGTGTTCAACCCTCTCCCCACCCACCATCCACAAGTAGAAGGACCCAGTGTCATTTGTAGCGGGATAAATGCACCCCCACAAATATATCCATGTACAACCACCCTTCCTCAGAATCTGTGAATAAGAACTTATTTGGGAAAATGGTCTTTGCAGATGTAATTAAGTTACGGTTCTCGAAATGAGATCATCCCAGATTATCTGGGTGGGCCTTAACTCCAACGCGACAAGTGTCTTTGGAAGAGACACAGACAAGAGAGGCCAGGGGAAGGCCACGTGGAGACAGAGGCAGGGATTGGGGCGACGCAGCCACGACCCAAGGAATGCTAAAAGCCACCAGAGGCTGGAGGAGGCGAGGAACTGAATCTCCGGGAGAGCCTTTGGAGGGGGCGTGGCCCCGCCGCTACCTTGATTTTGGACTTCTGGCCTCCAGAACTGTGGGGACATCGATTTCTGTGGTTTTAAGCCCCCAAGTTTGTGATGATTTCTTATGGCACCCCTGGGAAATGAATACACTTTCCTTGCTGCATGGATGGAAAAGTGGGCTAAGTGAAAAAAAATATTGGAGAAGCCAACAGAATTTGAAGAATACTAATAACTAACAACAATGGATTACATTTATTGAGTGCTTACCATGGGCCAAGTACCTGCCCAAGTTAGACAGTGACAGGACTAAATTTAAACTCAGCAAGTTGTGCCCCGAAGCCCGTGTGCTTAACCAGCCTCCCTGCACTCCCAGGAAATAGTGGAAGTTATATTTGGAAGGGGAAGAGAGAAGTGAGATCTGAAGGAGAGTTTGAAGGAATTTAATAGAGATTTTGGAGCCAACTGCCATGGAGGTGAGATCTAAACATTCAAAAGTTTTGCTTTACTTTATATAAATTGGAATTTTTTTTTTTGGTGTTCCCAGAGAAATGTAAAGATTTCAAGTGCTCTTCAGTTTATATATATATATATATATATGTATATATATATGTATATGTATATATATATGTATATATATATGTATATGTATATATATATGTATATGTATATGTATATGTGTGTGTATATATATATATATATATATATTTTTTTTTTTTTTTTTTTTTTTTTGAGACAGAGTCTTGCTCTGTCTCCCAGGCTGGAGTGCTGGAGTGCACTGGCACCATCTTGGCTCACTGCAACCTCTGCCTCCCAGGTTCAAGCAATTCTCCCGCCTCAGCCTCCCTAGTAGCTGGGATTACAGGCGCACGCCACCACACCTGGCTAATTTTTGTATTTTTAGTAGAGACGAGGTTTCACCTTGTTGGCCAGGCTGGTGCTTGAACTCCTGACCTCAAGTGATCTGCCCACCTTTGCCTCCCAAAGTGCTGGGATTGCAGGCATGAGCCACCCCACCTGGCCCCCCAAAAAATTATTTTATTTTTGACATAACGCAGTGCTGAGACTGGAGCACAGGGTACCTGAGTTTTATGTGGGTTCCTTTTTCACTCATTTGACCTTCATCCATTGAGCTCTGGCTTATCTGCCAAAATCTGTGCTCAGGGCTGGGCAGAATGGTAGATGACTGAGAACCAGACCCTGCCTTAGGGTCAGGGATGGTCTCAGCTCATGAGGGCTGGAGACGCATACAAAGGGCCTGGAGTTTGGGCATCATTCCGTGGGCAGTGGGAATTGTTATGCAGGAGGAGAAAGCTGGAGAGGTGGAGTACAGGCTCCATATCTGCCCCCAACCCCCCGCCCCCACACTGCTTTTCAAATCCCCTCTGGTCTTTGGCAGCCTGTTAGCTACATGGATAAACCTATCCCGGCTAGACTGCTGAGTAATACCACCCCTTTCTGATAACACAGTCAGATCAACTTTTTTTCTCTAGGCTATCTTGTGTATGTATGGGGGAGTTTGGGAATGGGGCATGGAGTGAGCTTGGTTGACTTTCCTCACATCTTATCACCTCGATGGCCCCCGTGATATCCAATTGTTGGGTTAATCCTGGCTTTCAGAAAATATTCTCCTTGATTATATGGACAAAACTAGATTCAATTCAGTTTTGAGACTACAGGGGAGCCTCAATGGCATGGTCGTGTGACTCGATAAACTCCTGGGGTGGCCGGTGCAGTGGCTCATGCCTGTATTCCTAGCACTTTGAGAGGTCTGGGGAGCTGATCACTTGAGGCCAGGAGTTGGAGAGCAGCCTGCGCAATGTGGCGAAACCATGTCTCTACCAAAAATACAAAAATTAGTTGGGCATGATGGTGCATGCCTGTAGTCTCAGCTACTCGGGAGGCTGAGGTGAGAGGACTGCTTGAACCTGGGAGGCACAGACTGCAGTGAGCAGAGATCGAGTCACTGGACTCCAGTGGTGTGATTTCTGCCTCAAAAAAAAAAAAAAAAAAAAAAAAGCTTCTAGGGAGAACAGACAATGGTCAGAAATTATCCTTGGAAATCCTTAGAAAGACACTAAGTTGGGAGCTGGTCAATTTCTCCCCATCAGTCCAGGGCAGCCTGGTTTTCTCCAGCATCAGAAGAGGTTGCCAATTGTCCAGCTGAGGACCAGCTGAAGTTGGTCGGCTTTTAGAAGTCGTAGGATACGAAAACAACAGATATTTAAATACTAGACTCATGCTTGAGGCTGAGAGGCCCTTGGGAGCAGAGATTACTGGGTGGATCCGAGATCTACACCAGGAGAAGAAGGCGAGGCTTTGCTTGCCACTTGCATTTGTTAATTCTATCTTTTCTCTTATTATTATATTATTATTATTATCATCTGCCGAGTCCCTATCATTGAATTTGCATAATAGAATTGCATAACTTATAGGACCACACTATCATGCAAATTTTTCCTGAAAGTACTTGCCTTTAAATATGACAGTTACCTCTTCCTGACTACAGAAGCTGGGTTTAGGAAAATCAGAGCAATTTCAGTCTCTGATCCTTTCTCAGAGTAAACTTCGGCCAGCTTCACTGTCCACGTGGCTCTACTGAGGGATTACAATCTCCCAGCCAAGTTGGGTCTTGTCCACAGCGATCTTGGAGCCAGTTTTCTGAATAAATCACAAAACTGTTCCACAGTTGCTGTGTTTACTCAAAAACTCATCTTCTATTGCTATGCAAACGTAATAGTTGTGGATATACTTTATATTTGGCAGTACTTTTTATTGTGTGGTGTTTCACAAAGTGTGCTCTGGGGAACACTAGGGAGGTAGGACGCTCTGTGGAAAAATAGTGTCCTGGGCTGAAGAAGTTTGGAAACCACCTGTTCTTGGATGAACATTCACACATCAACTGACCCTGAAGTAGAGACATCTGGGTAACTTGGTTTAATGCAGCATTGGCCAAATTTGTTTGCCCATGAAATCCTCCTCCTTGGTGTACTTTGGGAGCCAGAAACACGGGGAGAAGGAAGCAAAAGGTGGCCAGGTCCTCTCCAGTTTCCTCAGGCTGTGCGTCAAACCTGAGTTAGGAGATGGGGACTAGGTGGCTGTTTTAAAGTAAACTGGCAGCCGGACATGGTGGCTCACACCTGTAATCCCAGCACTTTGGGAGGCTGAGGTGGGTAGATCACTTGAGGCCAGGAGTTCAAGACCAGCCTGGCCAACATGGCAAAACATCGGCTTTACTAAAAATACAAAAATTAGCTGGGCATGGTGGCACTTGCCTGTAGTCCCAGCTACTCAGGTGGCTGAGGCAGCAGAACCACTTGAACCCAGGAGGCAGAGGTTGCAGTGAGCTGAGATCACGCCACAGCACTCCAGCCGGGGCGACAGAGCCAGACTCTCTGGCTTGGCCTTTTCAATATTGGGAAGTGGCCAGAAAGTTACAGGATCTGTTCATGATGCCACAAAGGACTGGGAAAAGGAGATTGGCAAGAATGTCATTGACAATTGTCTTGAGAGAAGAACCCTTTTATGTGTGTGTCCAGGGTGTTGAAATATACAATAAGCCAGTTACAAAGACTACCAGGCACCTCTTCTCTGTGAAGCCCCATCCAGGGGGTTGAAAACTGTCCCCTAAAATTCATATCCACTCAGAATCTCAGAATGTCATCTTATTAGGAAATAGGGTTTTTGCAGATGTAATTAGGCCAGGTTCAAGATGAGATCATCCTGAATGAGGACAGGCCTTAAATCCAGTGGCAAGTGTCCTATGAGGGACAGAAAAGGACACACAAAAATGCATGAGGCAGGTCATGTGAAGACAGAGCAGAGACTGGAGGTATGCAGCCACCAACCAAAGAATTCTAGGGGCCAGCCGGGTGCGGTGGCTCATGCCTGTAATCCCAGCACTTTGGGAGGCCGAGGCGGGCAGGTCACTTGAGGTTGGGATTTCGAGACCAGCCTGGCCAACATGGCGAAATCCTGTCTCCACTAAAAATACAAATATTAGCTGGGTGTAGTGGCACATGCCTGTAGTCCCAACTACTCAAGAGGCTGAGGCAGGAGAATCAATTGAATCTGGGAGGCAGAAGTCGCAGTGAGCTGAGATTGCGCCACTGCACTCCAGCCTTGGCAACAGAGTGAGACTCTGTCTCAAAAAATAAATAATAATATAATTCTAGGAGCCACTAGAAGCTGGAAAAGGCAAGGAGGGATTGTCCCCTAGAGCCTTCAGAAGGAGCTTGGCCCTGCCTGCACCTTGATTTCAGACTTCCAGCCTCCAGAACCATGAGAAAATAAATTTCTGTTGTTTTAACCCCCGAAGTTTGTGTGATTAGTTACAACAGCCCTAGAAGAGTAATACAACCCCCATGCTAGTGTTGCCAATGGGTGAGACAGGATTCCCCATGCAGACTAAAACTGTGAATTATGCAGACTGCATCCCTATCGGTGAAGGTATAATGGATACATGTGAACCTGAGACGTGCTAATTTTTGCACCAGGGTGGATAATTAGTAAGAGGCTGTATGGCAGTCTCGAGGGCTCAGATGCAGCGTGGAACTAGTGAGAGAGATTGCAGAGCACAGGTGAGGTTTTAGGGACACTGGATTTGTCTTTGGGTGATGGAATACAGGAAGGGCAGGTGAAGCCATTAACTGCTAGAGGGATATCAACTAGAAAAGATGTGAAGGCTGAGAGCAGTCTCTCAGGGAGACTAGTCTTGGCAGACCCGAGGAAGAGCGACTTGATAAAGAGACATTGCTGGAAGGAATCCAAGAAGGACAGAGCCACTGGGCCAGGATTGCCGCGCACTGCCACTGCCCAGGCTGGACCTCAGGGGCTCAGGAAGCCATTTTGCGATGAATCACCCCTGCCCCGGGGCCACTTTCCACCGGAGGTGATTCTTAGTTACTTCTCATACTGTCGTTTAACTTTCCTGGAGTTCAAGTCCTGCACTGTATGAACTTTTATGAACTTTTTTTTTTTTTCAAGACAGGGTCTCGCTCTGTCGCCCAGGCTGGAATGCAGTGGCATGATCTCAGCTCACTGCGACCTCTGCCTCCTGGGTTCAAGCAATTCTCCTGCCTCAGCTTCCCGAGTAGCTAAGACTACACACCACCACATCTGGCTAATTTTTGCATTTTTAGTAGAGACAGGGTCTCACTATGTTGGTCAGACTGGTCTCGAACTCCTGGCCTCAGGTGATCGACCCACCTCGGCCTCCCAAAGTGCTGGGATTACAGACGTGAACCACCATGCCCGGCCTAAACTTTCATGAATGTTTGACTACTGGCTCCACCTCTCTTTGCCTCTGTTCTCCAATCTATGAAATGGGGATAATAATATTTGCCTCTTAGAACCCTGAGAAGATGACATAACACCTGGAAGGTGCTTCACCCAGTTTCTGGCACACAACAAATATTTACTTTGTTAGCTGCTAATATATTGACCGCTAGTGGGTGTATGACCTGTAGTTTTACCTACCAGCTTTTGTGTTTCGAAGGGCTTGCTATGTACCTGGCATGGTTCTAACACTTTACACATGGTTTTATTTATTTATTTAAAATATTATTTTTTAGAGATGGGGTCTTGCCCTATTAAGCCCAGGCTGGAGTGAAGTGGCACGATCATAGCTTACTGCAGCCTCAAAGTCCTGGGTTCAAGTGATCCTCTCACTTTAGCCTCCCGAGTAGCTGGGACCACAGGTGTGTGCCACCACACGCAGTTAATTTTTTAAACTTTTTGTAGAGATGGGGTCTTGCTATGTTGCCCAGGCTGGTCTTGAATTCCTGGCCTCAAGCCATCCTCCTGCTTTGACCTCCCAAAGTGCTGGGATCACAGGTGGCAGCCACTCTGCCAGGCCACTCATGATCTTAATTCCCATAACCACTACAAGAGGAAGGAATATTAAGTCTTATCATTTTACAAATAAAGAAACTGAGGTTCAGGGAGGACAGGACACTTGCCCAGAGTCACACAGATGGCAAAGTCAGGATTTGAACTCAAGTCCGACCACTCCCTGAGCCCAGCCTTTTTACGATTGCATCTGATAGTTCACAGGATGATTTTTATGACCTACAAAGATGAAATTTGTCCTTCTAATAGTTATGTAGGTATTGTATTGTGTATTATAAAAATATTGGCTTCCCGTTTACTGTAGTGATGTAGAATTTCCTTTTAAAGTAAACTTATTTGGGCCAGGCACGGTGGCTCATGCCTGTAATCCCTGTACTTTGGGAGGCCGAGGCAGGTGGATCACTTGAGGTCAGGAGTTTGAGACCAGCCTGGCCAACATGGAGGAATCCCATCTCTACTAAAAATACAAAAATTAGTCAGGCATGGGGGCACACACTTGTAATCCCAGCTGCTTGGGAGGCTGAGGTAGGAGGATTGCTTGAACCCAGGAGGTGGAGGTTGTGGTGAGCCAAAATCATGCCACTGCACTACAGCCTGGAAGACAGAGCAAGACTCCATCTTAAAAACTAAACTAAACTAAACTTACTTAACTAATCACAATAGCCAAAAGATGGAAATGCTCAAATGTCCATCAATGAATGGGTGGGTGGGTAAACAAGTTGTGTTTATCCACACAATGGAATATTATTCAGTCATGAAAAGGAATGAAGCACTGATTCATGCTACAACATGGATGGACCTTAAAGATATTATGCTAAGTAAAATAAGCCAGAACCACAAGGATACTGTAGGATTCCACTTACATGAAACATCCGGAATAGATAAATCCACAGAAACAGAAAGCAGTTTGATGGTTACCAGGGGTTGTCGGGGAGAAGGGAATGGGGCGTGACTACTTAAAGGTTATGGAGTTTCATTTTGACGTAATGAAAATGTCTTGGAGTTAGATAAAGGTGATGGTCACATAACGCTATAAAGTACTAAATGCCACTGAATTCACTTTATTTTTACTTTTTTCTTCAGATGAGCATCATGCTCTAAGAATTCACTTTCAAATGGTTAATTTTATGGTATGTCAACTTCACCTCAATAATTAAAAAAAATAAGTTTGAAAAAGGAAGTGAATTTGTTTAAAGAAAAATATGAAGTAAATAATAGCACAGAGGGAGTGCAGGTATGGCAAAAACCACCAAGGTGATACTTAGAAAATACGGCACCGTATTATCCACTAAGCGCGCAAGGCAACTCTTAAAGGGCCAAGGCAGCGTCTTGCTCTCCTTTGTTGCTTTTTTTTCCCCTCTGCAGCCAGCTCAGTGCTTAAGAAAAACTTGTTGAGTTCAGCTCAGCCCGGCTCAGCCTGGCTTTGTTAATTGAGTTAAGGCGAGCTGAGTCGTACTGAATGCACCAGCCGGCTGGCCTGGAGGAGATCCAAGTTGAAGATGTTAAGAATCACACTAATTCAATAAGCGGCTGCGGGGTAGTCTAAGTAATGAGACTGTGTGCCTTTCCTTACCCGACTTACCTGTGTTCAGTTGGCACCTTAGGAGCCATGTCCACTTGGTAATATGATAGTTTTCTCCCCGTAATCCTCTGTGTGTGTTTGCTGAAAACGCCAGGCAAGAGGGGGAAGTCAAAGAAAAATGCAGGCTCAGCTGGAAGCCCCGGGGAAGTGGAAGCAAGGGCCTGAAGGAAGCAGAGGACTTTCTGTCTGTCCGTGCATAGGTGCTGGCAACAACCTACATCTTCCTCGTCCAGAGCTTTCCTGGTGCGTCTAAGCGTAGCAATGTACCGTAGCATCTAGTTCATTCTCTTGACTCTGATTGCCTGGGTTTGAACCTGGCTGATGGACCTCAGACAAATTCATTCACCTTTCTGCACCTTCGTTTATTTGCAGCTATAAAATGAAAATAATACTGCTACCTATGGTATTGGGTTGTTGGGAAGATTCAATGAAATGATACATGTCAAGCACTTAGCACACAGTTCCAGGAATGCTGGAAGTGCTCAGAAAGGTTACCTATGAGGATTAGCACTGATCAGTGCAGCAGAAAGCTGTGTTTGAAATGCATTGCAGGGCCTGGTACACAGACACCAGCTTTCCAGACACTCAGAGGACAGAATAGTGGTTTGTAAACATCCTCCTAAACGGAAGCATGACATGGCTTGCTCATGTAAGTTCTCCTGGAATGGTGATGTAAGCTCCCAGGACCAGGAGGGAATAACAGGAATTGGGATGTTTTTCTCCATTCTGGCAGGATCCTACCTACAGGGAGTCCCCAGAGGCTGCCTGCCCTGGGGGCACAGAACCCAGAGACTAGAAAAAAACTGTGCAAAGGTATCCTCTTCCTTCTCTTTTCTGGGAAGCTGCTCCACTTACATGTTAAGGTCTGCATCCTTGGCCAATAAATCAGAAGCCCACAAATCTTGACCCCATCTGCAAGGCCGTGGGTGCAAAGGGCAAGAGATGGGAATCGGGAGGTGTGGTTTCTCAGATCCCCTTGGCACTCATTTGACGTGTTGTCAGTTTCCTGCCTCTTTCTGAGCTATTGTTCCTTAATTTAGGGTAAGTAGACATAGATTCCAGAAAAATTGCTGATTTGCAAGTTTAAAAAATCTGGGGTGTCCTTTGTTTAAATAAAAGTGTACAAGGAAACTGAATCTACAAAGAGACACAAGAATTGCTGGATGGTTGAAATAGAGGAGGGGAATCCCATAGCCACAGGTCACCCAGCCACCTGCTCTCTTCCACTGGCTTCCTCCTTCCCGCACATTTTGAAAACTACTGACTAGAGTGAATTCCTGCAGCAGGGGCGGGGCTGGAGGCACAGGGCAGGATAGAGCATGGAGGAGGGAGGTGGTCCCGGTGGTGGTCTCTAGCAGCATGAAGATGCAGAGGAGCTGCTGTATGGGTCTGCCTGCCCATTAGTGACAGTGTGACACGGGAGTTTAGGACATCAGGTCTTTTTGTCGATTCCTCCTTCTTCTGGTAAGAGCACCCCAGTTTTCTTTGGGGGAACCACTCACTCTTACTGTGTCCAGGTGGTCTGGCTGGGCTTCAGCAGTGACTGGAACCTGGGCACTTAGATCAGTCCATCCCTGTTGCCAGAGTCACTGCTTCAGCAATGGGCAGCTGAATCTATCAGAGCACACTAAACCTAACCCTGGGACTTTTATGGAGGCAACCAGGAAAAAGGCTGGATTTGACTCTGGAAAGATGTAAAACAGGTGAAGTGAGCCAATCTAAACATGAAACCAATACAGGGAAAAGCAAAGCCAAAAAGCTAGAGAGAGGGAAATTCCTAAAGACTTAACTGAGGGCCTGGATCCAGCCATGCCTGAAGCTTATCCAGACCTTGCTTCTCAAATAATACAATGTACATTTTCCATCCGGTTTAAGTTCATCTAAGTCAGGATTTTGTCACTTTGCAACTGAAACCTCATGACCAATACACATGGGCAGTTTATTTAACCTCTTTCAGTTTCCATTTTCTCATTTACCAAGTATCTCTAAAAATCTATATAAAGCTTACCTTCAAGCAGATCTGTACATATACACACATATATCACAGCAGCAATAAGATATTATCAATAGTGGTAACTATTTTGCATATGCATTAGTGTTAAAGAAGGCAAAACAAAGATTGGTTAATATCAGTTCACTTTCTTTTCTAAATGAGAATGGAGGGGGAGTAAAAGTTAAATAAATGTCCATTACCAACGGGAATGGAGGAAACAGGAGGAGGCCACGTGCTGACCAGAAAATGGGGAGGGGTCTGATGGAGGCTGAGGTTCCCACAGTTCTGCAGATGGAGGCTGAGCCCGAGGGAAACCCCTCAGCCCCTATCAGCCCCCAGGTCCTTGAGGCCTGGGAAAACCAGAGGGACAACTGAGATAGATCTGTCTTAGGAGCAGAAGGTTCAGAGGCCCAGACCCTATAAATGTGGGTCATGCCCCAAAGAAGACACTGCAGCTCATGGCCAACTTGATGCATGGGGCCAGATCTTCCCTGGACAGACAAACTGGCCTTTTGTGGCCGAGAGAGCTGTTCCCGGGGATTGCCATCTTGGAAGGCCATTGTGGTCTGCTCAGGAACCCTTGAAATCGAAAGCCCTGCGCTCTCCTTGTCACAGCCGTCGCACATAAATACCACCAGGGGGGATTTCCCATGGAATTTTTTGCAACCACTCAAATGTTTCATTTCCCATTGTTTGCCAGTCCCTCTCAGAGCCTCAACTGTCAAAGCAGCAGCAAACACAGGCTGCTTTTCCCCCAGGATCCCATGGCGCTCGCTCTTGCGTCCCCTCCATGTTGGGAAGCTGGCATTGGCAGGATATCATCAGCTCAGGCCCGGGAATAAGGTCTGTTAGTCAACTAGTGAAGCAAGTCAGCGAAGGGAATACCCGGCCCTGCCCAGCCCATGCTTGCTGGGGAGGCACAGTTCTGTGCAGTCACCCTCGTTATAATTATCATCATGGTGACGAATAATTGCATTTATACAAAGAAATTCCTTCCACACATCTGAAGCACTTGACCAAAAAATACACAATGCAGCATTAATGTTTCACTTTTAGAATATGAACTTGGCCGGGTGCAGTGGCTCACCCGGGTGCAGTGATTAAATGCCTGTAATCCCAGCACTTTGGGAGGCTGAAGTGGGCAGATCACTTGAAGCCAGGAGTTCGAGACCAGTCTGGCCAACATGGCGAAAGCCCGTCCCTACTAAAAATACAAAAATTAGCCCGGGTGTGCTGGCTCTTGCCCAGCTACTTGGGAGGCTGAGGCATGAGTGAGAATCACTTGAACCCCAGAGGCAGAGGTTGCAGTGAGCCAAGATCGTGCCACTGCACTCCAGCCTGGGCGACAGAATGAGACTCTGTCTCAAAAAAAAATAAATAAATAAACTTGAATCACTTTTTTTCTTGACCCCAGGAGCTTTAATGGAATTCCAAGTTGTAGTCCATACATCAGTGCTGAGAAAAGATGATCCATGTCAACTGATTGATTGACGGATTGAAAAGCATTTGTTTTGAGGCAGGCACCGCACTGTGCATTTTGGGGACCCAAATATGAAAAAGACATAGCTGCCTGTGCATAGGAGCCAAATGGTCTAGAGAGAGGCAGAGATCACAAAGCAACATGGGATGCCAGAGTGACTGGGAGTTTATTTGGGGGATATTGATCTGAAGGGTGAATAGGAGTCTCCAGGCAGGCACATGGGTGGCCCATCACCAGTTCACGTGATCTGAGTACATGTAGGATAAATGACCCCAGGCAAGGCTGGGTGGATGTGGCACAGCCTGACCCTGTGGAGATGAGGAATAGTACGATATCCGTTAAATATCCATTCACTAGGGCCCATCCACTGCACCACAGATGTTGCCCTAGAATGGAGTTTAGCCATGTAGTCATTCATTCATTCATCCATTAAAGCCACAGATATTTACCGAGCACTCACGATGTGCCAAGGAAGACTAGGTGCTGGGGAGGCAGAGGTGATCAAGATCAATCTGGTATCTTTCCTTTTGGAGCTTCCATACTGGTGGAGCAGAGGGCCATTAAACAAATACACGTGTCAAATAATAAAGAAATATATAGTACAGGCTGGGCACGGTGGCTCAAGCCTGTAATCCCAGCACTTTGGGAGGCTGAGGTGGGTGGATCAGTTGAGGTCAGGAGTTCGAGACCAGCCTGGCCAACACGGTGAAAACCTGTCTCTACTAAAATTACAAAAATTAGCCAGGCATGGTGGTACGTGCCTGTAATCCCAGCTACTTGAGAGGCTGAGGCAGGAGAATTGCTTGAACCCAGGAGGTGGAGGTTGCAGTGAGCCAAGATCGTGCCACTGTACTCCATCCTGGGCAATAGAGCAAGACTCCATCTCAAAAAAAAAAAAAAAAAAAGGAACTATACAATACAATAAAAGACAACCTAATACACATAAAAGCATCTGCCTGCCCCTCAGTTTCTGAGCTCCCACTTGACACCAAGTGTTGTGGGGGTACAAATTTGGGTCAACATTTTGTGTAGCAGAACTCTGGGGACCAACCAGAACTCCTGAAAACAGGATGCCACTCAGCAGTGACAGCCTCACTTTCCCATTTACTGGGCTTTTTTTTTTTTTTTTTTTTTTTTTTAACATCTCTGGACACCTTGGATCCTGCCAGCAAGCCTCGGGAGGCAGTTTAGGAGTTATTTTCTTTACTTCTCAGGGGAGGAATCCGAGGCTTGGAGAGGAGGAGGGATTGACCGGCCTGGGGTCACACAGCTAGAAAGGCCAAGATTGCTATGCCGTTTTTTTTTTTTTTTTTTTTTTTTTACAAAGAAAGAACAGCGGAGCAAGGTGGCCATTTTATTTTCTCAAAGCCACACTACCTGCTGCTACACAGGACATAAAAGTGCAAAATTCCACCAGGAAGGGAAACAAAACAGTCTTGAGACAGCCATGTCTCAGAGGTGAAGATTGGAGGAGATTTTAATATAGGGTGTGAATTCCAATTCACATCTCTTCCAACGGGACCTCTTTCCGAAGTCCCGGGAACTAACATTCATCAACACCTCTGACATCCCAGAGGATCGCAACATTCCTGCCAAGGGTTATTACTCCCATTTCCCAGATGAAGAGATTGAGTCCCTGCAGCACGCAATTAGACAGTAGCAGAACCAGAATTTGAACTCTGATCCACCCCGATTCTGGGACCTGTGGAGCTCCAGGTACCGAGAGCTGGCTCTCGCCTGGGGCCTTGGAGTCTGGGTAGCTGGATGCTGGGAGAGGCTGCGGAGGTAAGGGCCCAGGGGCTGAGGTTGCAGCGGCTGCCCGGGAATGCGGCCCTTGCACGCCCACTTTTTAACACAGTGCCATCCCTGACAGACACCCTTGTCCTTTTCCTGTGCTGCCCTTCGTAACACCATAAATAAAGCCTTAGAGTAACGTGACCTGAGCCAGGCAGTAAATGATGGCACTGTCAGTTGTACACGACTGTTGAAACAAACACAGACTGTAATCATCGTGCTGTACGGGGAGAAAGACATTTGGCAAATGAGATTCCATTTTCACATTGGTTTGTGCTGAGCATATAAATTTCCTGCGGGCCGGCCAGCATTGGGGATGTGTAATTGATTGCCTGCATTATAATAAACAAGCTGTGACAGGTGATCATTCATCATATTCCGCTGAACGTTCCAGCACACCAGAAAACGGAGGAAGAGAGGGAACGCGCGAGCAAGGGGAGAGGAGAGGAGGAACCTGGGGGAGGGGAGGGGGTCGGAAAGACCGAGTATTCCCGACAGACAGAAAAACCAGGGGAGGGGCGGGGGAGGGAATCCGCTGAGCGGGCGGGGGAAAGTGAAAGCAATTACTATAATTCTTTTGATTATCTAATTTGTTCTTTCTGGCCTTCGTTATATGACCCTCCCCCCCTCCCCCCACTCCAACATAGAAGGTCCCCCACGGGGACTTGGGAAGGCACAGAGAACGCTCCCTCCACGATCGAGGGAAGGAAGGGGGGAGGCAGGTGGGGGAGGGGCCGCGTCTAGTTGTAACCGGAGTAGATACATTCGGGAAAACCTGGGGGGAGAAGGAGGAGGAGGAGGGGAGGAGCGTGTGCAGGACTTAGCTTTGCTCTTGCACTGAGATGCCTCCAGTCGGATGGATAGGAACCAGCCTCTTTAAATACATTTTTTTAAAGGGTGTCTGAAAAACAAGTGAAAAGTTCCTTTTATTGGAGAAAAAGGACAGCATCCAAGTTGGCATCAGATGTGGTTCCACAAGCCTGTCATATGGTGCTCTCATTCCTCCCCCTCGCTCCCTCCGCCCCGCCCCAGCTCCCACCTCCCCACCCCCACTGCAGCCCCAGCCTCTCTGTCTCTCTCTCTGTGCCCTTGGCCCGGGGCTGGGGGTCGAACAGCAACTGCTGGGAAGCACCCTCCTCTCCAGGAGCTCCCACCTAGACAGACAGAAGGCGGAGGTACACTGGCATATGAAGGACAGAAAGACAAATGCAGAGCTCTCGAGCCAGCACACGCATTAAATAAGTACTTACATTATGCAAAAGCCAAGGGCCTCAACAAGGGGGTGAATGAAGAAGGGGGACAAGGAGGGCTGCGTCCCAGACTAGTTTCCCCAGCTCTCACCCTGCCAATTTCCAGCCCCCGCCTCCCTATCCCGCAAGCGTCCTCCCATTCCCTCCCTGGTACCAAGCGCTTAGAGCAGGTGGGAGCCTCGGACCCAGAAGGCTGGGAGCTGAGGAGGCGTGGCTTGCGCTAACATCGGGGGCGGGGCCTGGCTGGGGCTTAGTCGGGGCGGGGCCCACGCCGGAGGGGGCGGGGCGAGCACAGAAGAAAGAGCGTTAGGGGCTCCTTTGCCACTCGTTGCACGCTGCTTCCCAGAGTCTTCTGCTATTTCATCGTAGCCTTAACAACTGGAATCTGTCGCCTTCGAGATGTTCCTAAAGTCACTGCTTTGGGAGAATCTGTTCAAGGGACCTGCTTTCCAAAAGCAATGACATCAGCCCAGCAACGTGATCTGTGTTGTCCTTGAAGGATTAACAACTCATTTGGGTCTCCCAAGAGCCCTAGGAGGTAGCCAGGGCAGGTGCTGTTGTCCCCGTCTCACAACGACCTATGAAGTGCATGTTGGGGCCTTGATTTTACAGGGGAAGGAACACAGGCACAAAGAAACGAAGTTACTCTCTCGGGATCTGGCAATGAAAAAGTCAAAATTTGAAGCCAGGGGTCTTCTGACCTGTTCTTCAGCATCCCTATGAGAACATATACTTTCTCCCTCCAACACTCTCCTCCCATCCATAAGTGCATACAGGTGCTGAATAGGAGGGGCAGAGTTGAGTCTATATTGAATGATTGTGCATCCAGATCCTCACTAAGCCCTCTTGGTTTTGCCTGACACACGTGGCTCACTGTGTGCCCCCTGGTCCAGGCCACCTGCATCTTCCTCCTGGACCACTGTCCCCGCCTCATCACTGGCCTTCCTCTTAATGCTGTTCTCACTCCCATCCACTACCCACCAGCAGCCATGATGATCAATGATGGTCACCATCCATACCCTGTATCAACTGTCTCTCTAGCGCCATCTTTTTTTTTTTTTTTTTTTTTTTTTTAAAGACATGGTCTCCCTCTGTTGCCCAGGCTGGAGTGCAGCAGTGTGATCGTAGCTCACTGCAGCCTTGAATTCCTGGACACAAGCAATCCTCCTGCCTCAGCTTCTTGAGTAGCTGGGACCACAGGTGCTTGCCCCCATGCCCAGCTAATTTTTATTTTTATTTCTGTAGAGATCAAATCTCATCATGTTGCCCAGACTAGTCTTGAACTCCTGGCCTCAAGCTTCCCCAGTTGCTGGGGATTACAGGTGTGAGCTGCCACACCTCTTGCCTTAGCTTCCCCAGTTGCTGGGATTACAGGTGTGAGCTGCCACCATCTTTTTTTTTTTTTTATTTGTTTGTTTTGTTTTGTTTTTTGGAGGCAGAGTCTCATTCTGTCATCCAGGATGGAGTGCAGTGGCATGATCTTGGCTCACTGTAACCTCTGTCTCCCAGGTTCAAGTGATTCTCCTGCCTCAGCCTCCCGAGTAGCTGGGATTACAGGTGCCTGCCACCACGCCTGGCTAATTTTTGTATTTTTAGTAGAGACAGGGTTTCACCATGTTGGCCAAGCTGGTCTTGAACTCCTGACCTCAGGTGATCCACCCACCTTGGCCTCCCAGACTGCTGGGATTACAGGGGTGAGCCACCATGCCTGGCCAGGTCCAGAAGTTTTCCATCACCCCAAACAGAATCTCGGTACCCATTAGCAGTCACTTCCCATTCTTCCCTCCCGTTGGCCCCTGGCAGCTGCCAATCTGCTCTCTGTCTCTATGGATTGCCTGTTCTGGATATTTCATGTAAGTGGAATCCTACGATATATAATCTTTGTGTCTGCTTCTCCCACTCAGCATCATGTGTTCAAGGCTCATCCATGCTGTAGCGCATGCCAGTGCTTCCTTTCTTCTTATGGCTCAGTGCTGTTCCATTGCCTGGATGGACCACATTTTGTTGATCCATTCACTGGCTAGGGGTCATTTGGGTTGTTTCCACCTTTTGGCTATTGTGAATAGTGCTCTATGAACAATTGTGGGTAAGTTTTCATTTGAATATTTGCATTTATTTATTTGTTTATTTATCTATCTATCTATTTATGTTTTGGAGACAGAGTCTCCCTCTGTTCCCCAGGCTGGAATTCAGTGGCGCAATCTCGGCTCACTGCAACCTCTGCCTCCCGGGTTCAAGCGATTCTCCTGCCTCAGCCCCCCGAGTAGCTGGGATTACAGGAGTGCGCCATCACGCCTGGCTAATTTTTGTATTTTCGGTAGAGAAGGGGTTTTGTCACGTTGGCCAGGCTGGTCTCGAACTCCTGACCTCAGTCAGGACCTCAACTCCTGATTCCCCTGCCTTGGCCTCCCAAAGTGCTGGGATTACAGGTGTGAGCCACCGCGCCTGGCCTGAACCTTTGTTTTCAATTGTTTGGGGTACATACTTAGGAATGGAACTGCTAGGTTCTGCAGTAACTCTGTGTTTAGCTTGTCAAAGAACCGCCACACTATTTTCCTCAGTGACTGCCCATTTTACATTTTCACCAGCAGTGCACCAGGGCTCCAATTTTTTACATCCTTGCCAACCAACACTTGTTATTTTCTGTTAAAAAAAAAAGTTTGCGCCGGGCACAGTGGCTCACGCCTGTAATCCCAGCACTCTGGGAGGCCAAGCGGGGTGGATTGCCTGAGGTCAGGAGTTCGAGACCAGCTTGACCAATATGGTGAAGCCCCGTCTTTACTAAAAATACAAAAATTAGCTGGGCGTGGTAGCGTGTGCCTGTAGTCCCAGCTACTTGGGAGGCTGAGGCAGGAGAATTTGCTTGACCCTGGGAGATGGAGATTGCAGTGAGCCGAGATTGTGCCACTGCACTCCAGCCTGGGCAACAGAGCAACACTCTGTCTCAAAATAATAGTAACAATAATAATGTTTGCCATCCCAGTGGGTGTGCCTAGCTCCATCTTTTAGATGAGATGGGGTGAGTTCAGGGTCCATATGGCCATAGACTAGATCCATCTTATACTTCTCTCCCCTTCCTTCTTGCTACTCTGGACTTTCATATCCCCAAATTGCCCCTCCGTCCTACCATGGACCTTGGCTTACGCAGTGCCTTCCTCCTTCCCATCCTCCCACTGGGTTCTGTCCACTTGTACCCCAAGGCTACCTCAGATCCTCCTCTGACAATGATCTGTCCCCCAGCCTTCCTTTCACAGCTCCGAATTTGGTTGTAATTTTACATTTCCTTTTGCAATTACTGATTAATGTCCATCTTCTTGACCTGACTACAGCCTTCCCCTAGGAAGGGACCATTCTGCTTTTGCCACCCACTGTGTCCCCAGCACTTAGCACAGTCCCTGGTAGAGACTTTGGGGAGTGCAGTGACACAATCATAGCTACTGCAGCCTTGACCTCCGGGGCTCATAACATCTTCCCCCCTCAGCCTCCCAAGTAGCTGGGACTACAGGAACACACGACCATGCTTGGTTAATTTATTTTTATTTTAATTTTTTTGTAGAGATGGAGTCTCACTATGTTGCCCAGACTGGTCTGGTACTCCTAACCTCAAGCAGTCCTCCTGCCTCAACCTCCCAAAGCACTGGGATTACAGGCCTGAGCCACCGCACCCAGCCCCAGTTCTAAGATGTTAACCACATGTAAGCCTCGGGGAGAATCTCAGGCCCTGGCCCACTTCAATAAATATTTGGTGAATTAATGCATAAGCAATGAATGAGATCCAAGTGTGGATCCTATGACCTTATGAATTTTCCTTTTCTTTTTTTCACTGATCAGTGGCACTAGCAGGCCTCAATAAGTTAGGAACTAAAAAACCTGCTTCAGGCTGGGCACTGTGGCTCATGCCTGTAATCCTAGCACTTTGGGAATCCAAGGTGGGTGGATCACCTGAGGTCAAGAGTTCAAGACCAGCCTGGCCAACATGGTGAAATCTCATCTCTACTAAAAATACAAAAATTAGCTGGGCGTGATGGTGGGCACCTGTAGTCCCAGCTACTCAGGAGGCTGAGGCAGGAGAATCACTTGAACCCGGGAGATGGAGGTTGCAGTGAGCCGAGATTGCACCATTGCACTCCAGCCTGGGCGACAGAGCAAAAACTCTGTCTCAAAAACAAAAAAACCTGCTTCAGCCATAAGGAATTTGGAAACGGATGGCATTCTAATTGCAGAATTAATACTCACTAATGTCTCCCTCTGGAACCAGGGTGAATCTGGCACCGGATTCTGAGTCTTGCTTGGGAATTGTGTTGATTCTGCCTTGCAGTGCTGCTGAAACTCTAGGAACCTTGAAATATATTTGCTTGGTGTAAACATGACCTCAGCGTGACAGGATGATCCTTGTGTTTGCCAAGCCATTAATTTTTATGTGATAACGACGACCACAACAAACTGCTTTTCGCCCACATTTTGAGTTGTTCTTAAGGTCAGGTCTGTGGGATTGTGTGAGACAAAAACCTTATAAACTAGAATGTAGCGGTGAGTTCTCTGTGTTTACAGCCCTGCTCCTACACACGGCTCCAAAGAGCTGAAAATAGAGGATTAAAAATTCATGCAGCTACTTTCTTCCAAGGAACTCCAAATGCTTCTGACAATCTTTATCCTGCAAAGTCATGAGTGGTCAGATGCCCATCCCAAGGACAGGGAAACAGAGGCCCAGAGATAATGACGGGACTTTGCCAGGCCCCTCTACCCCTGCTAATGGAGCAACAGGCTCAGATGAAGAGCCCCTCCCACCTATGTTTCTAGCCCATGCACTCTCCATTAGCCTGATTAAGACAATTGATTTATTCATTCTTAGTGGTTGAGATGGAAAAAAAAAAAAGAAACCAACATGCCATTTGTGTGATATAAATATCTCTGGAAAAAGCTAAAAAACATTGTGTCATACATATTTTCTTAATACCACAGTCAATCACATGTGTCTGTCCAAGTGCCATAGTCCATCAACCCAAGAGTGGGGGATGGGGGTGTTTGGGGGTGGGGATAATGGAGGGGACAGACTCAGCAGAGTCTCAGCTCCAGAATCCTCAGCCACTGCATGGCAAATGTTGCCACTGACTAAAGCTATGCTGGCTGTTCATTTTCCATTACCTATTGCCTTTGAAGAACCTTCTAGAAGTCTTAGAAACTTGATGTTGGGCAGAAAAATGATAGGCAGGGATGCAAAGGTGCTGGGACACCCACTCAACCGGCCAGTTCCCAAAGAAAAAGATGGAGGTTGTCACTTTCTCACTCAGTGTGCCCCATGGACTCACAGAAGGATTTAGATCACAGCGTGGTTCCTCTTCCTCCAACCCTACACCCCCATCATCAAAGAGCCTTTAATCCTGATGATTCACCTGTTAGGAATTTAGCCCAAGGAAATAATTAAAGACATATAAAAAGATTTAGTTACAGGATGTTCGTCATGACATGTAGATTACGGTGAAAGATTAGAAGCAACCTCCATGTCCAACCAACCAAAGGTGATGGCTATGTAAGTTGTGGAGTTCCTCCTTTAAAATTCTGCTCAGATCTCCAAAGAAAAAAGACTGGAAGGAAATTAACCAAGAGAATCACAGAGTTTGTTTTGAGTCTGGAAATATGAGTAAATTTTTTTTTTCCTGGAGTAAGTCCTTGTTTTGGATGTTCTATTCAAAACCAACTTAAATTTGGCTCCAATTGGAAACTTTATGACATCAGGAGGATTGAGATATCATAAAAGGAACAGGAAGGGGCACTCCATGAGGGAACCACATGTAAAGGTCTGAAGGGAAGTCGGGGCAGAGAGGAAACAGCCTCGCTGGAATGGAGGATTTCCACTGCTGTGTGCTGGGATGCATGTCAGAGAGATTTGTAGGCTGTGCACAGACTGTGTATTTTTTGAAAGCCAAGGAGAGGAAGGCACATTAGATATGATAGGCAACTGGGAGCCAGTATAGATTCTTGAACAAGAAAAGACAAATCCAGTTCCAAGGGAGACTAAGAAGAGACAGTCCAAGAAGAGAAAGTGCAGGGGACGAATCTGGTGGTGTCATAATTCTTTTATGGAAGGATCTGACTTTATTGGTTTTAGGGGTAAATGTTTCTGGAGAATCCTAGAACTCTAAATCTGCAAGAAATCTTGAGGTTGCTCTCGTTTTAGGGATAGAACAACCGCAGTCCAAAGAGTTACATCTTCCAGTCATAAGGCAAAATGGCAGCCAAGTTGGTACTGATCACTATCAGTCCTTATTCCTACCCGAGACCAGCTTGTCTCTCTGTTGCCTTCCATCCCAATTCTAAGATTTTTTTTATTTTTCCAGAGACAGGGTCTTGCTTTGTCACACAGGCTGGAGTGCATGGGCACAATCATAGCTCACTGCAGCCTTGAAGTCCTGGGCTCGTGGCATCCTCCCACCTCAGCCTCCCAAGTAGCTGGGACTACAGGAACACATAACCATGCCTGGCTAATTCATTTTATTTTATTTTTATAATTTTGTAGGGACAGAGTCTCACTCTGTTGCCTAGGCTGGTCTGAAACTCCTTGCCTCAAGCAGTCCTCCTGCCTCAACCTCCCAAAGCACTGGGATTACAGTCCTGAGCCGCTGCACCTGGCCCCAATTCTAAGATGTTAACCACATGTAAGCCTTCCAGGAGAACCTCAGACCCTGGTCCACTTCCTGGAGTCCCACCTAAAACTCCATTTTTCCATTCATTTATTTATTCATGTAACACTGAGACCCGAACATTCAAAGACAGACATGCTAATAGTTAGGGTGGAGTGGAAGGGAGATAATGATGGCACACAGTAGGTGTTCAATAAATATTTGTGGAAAGAAAGAGTCAAGGAGGGAAGAAGAGTCCCTGCCCTCAAATAGCTCAAAATGTAATTTGAGAACAGACACAAGTGTTTATATGGGATGCAAGCCGTGCTTTCAGAGGGATATGAGCCCAGGTTCTGCAGGCCCAGGCAAGACACTTCACAGAACCAAACAAAAAAAGTTGACTTTCAACTTCTTTTATTTATTATTATTATGATTTGAGACAGAGTCTTGCTCTGTTACCCAGGCTGGAGTACAGTGCCACGATCTTGGCTCACTGCAACCTCTGCCTCCTGCGTTCAAACTATCCTCCCACCTCAGCCTCCATGTAGCTGGGATTACAGGTGTGCACCATGACACCCGGCTAATTTTTGTATTTTTAGTTGTGGCAGGGGTTTCACCATGTTGGCCAGGCTGGTGTCGAACTCCTGACCTCAAGTGATCTGCCTGCTTCGGCCTCCCAAAGTGCTGGGATTACAGGCATGAGCCACCGTGCCTGGCCCCAACTTCTTTTATAAAAAAGTATTTAACTCAACTAACATTTATGGAGCCCCTACCATGGGCCGGATTGGGGATTAAAATTTCTGCTTTTTCCCCATGGGTTATGCATTAAATCCAAAATGGGTAGGCGATCCCTAGAGAAAAGACAGAGAAGGAGAAAGGAAGAAGGAGGAAAAAATACAAAGTCGTCAGGCTCCCAGAAAAAACAGATGATGCTAGTTTCTCTGAACAATTTTGGACTTCTTTTTCCAACTCCAGCCACCTCATTTGCTTTTCCTTTTGCCCATGGACTCCAAGGTCCGTGGCTCTGGTCTACGGGGGAAGGGCCAGGCATGAGCTACATGGAATCAGACACCCAGAGGCCTCCTCTCCATCTCCCTTTTCCAGTTATTCAGCGTCCTCAGGCCATTTCAATTTTACGTTGCCAAGTGAACATAAATCAAGGGGCCGCCCAGTCTCCTAAAGAAACACTGTGGGACTTCGCAGAGCCTTTCCCAGGGTGTGCACCGGGAAAGAAGGAGAAAGAGGACTAAGCAGAAAGTTACATGTGGCTCCTTTAATCACCAGGTAGAAAGAGAGAGGAGAAAGTTCAAACAGAGCCCCTGCAAGCGGCGCCGGGAAGCCAGCTCTGAGCTCCACTGTTCAAGCAACTGCTGTTGGCATCACAGAGGTTTGTCTTGGCCCAAACCCGTCCCGGGAAACACAGAGACGCTCATGCACTTGGAATTCGCTCCCTTAATGATTCACTCAGCAACTCGGCACAATTACAAAAAGAAGGTGAAAGAAAGGAAGGGAGAAAAGAAGAAAAGAAAAAGAGAGAAGGAAGGAAGGAAGGAAGAGAGGGAGGGAGGGAGGGAAAGAGGGAAGGGATAGAGGGGAGGGACTGAGGGAGGGAGGGAAAGAAAGAGAGGAAGGGAGGGAAAGAAGGAAGGAAAAGAAAGGGAGAAAGGAGAGAGAAGGATGGAAGGAGAAAGAAAGAAAAAGAAAAGAAAGAAAGAGAGAAAGAAAAGGAAGAAGGAAAGAAAGAGGGAGGGAGGAAGGAAGGGAAGGAAAGAGAGAAAAAGAACAAAAGAGAAGGAAGGAAGAAAGAAAAGAGAGAAAGAGAAAGAAAGGAAAAATCGCCACACCACTGGCTGAAGGTGCCCTCTCCCAAATTCCTGGGGCATGACTCAAGTTGGGGCCGGGGATGGGGAGCAAGAGACAAATTTTCTGAGAGCTCCCATGAGGGGACGCTACCAGCTGTGAGCTGATTGCAAGTGAGAACAAAGCAGCAGCGATCTGCAAAGGTCTAACTCAAATGCTGTCTGTTGCACTCCACGAGCTTTGGAGAGAGGTACTAGATAAAACAATGAAGTAAGGGGTGTTGCCAAATAGTCGCCTTACGTTGAGTGCTCATCATATGCCAATGGTGTATCCACATGTTCCATCTCTTATCTCGCAGAGTCCTCACAGCAAACCCAGGAGCAGGGTCTTCAGCCCCATTGCACAGGTGACAGAGCTGAGACCTGACCCATTCCTAACCTGCCCAAGGACACACAGCTAAATAGCCAGGGGGTTCCGAATGTGAAGTTAGGTCTCCTGTGACTCTGTGATATGCCCTTGACCACTCTGCCCTCCAGCCTTCATTTACGGCTCAATTCCCAAATGCCACCACCAGGAATTTGACATATACCCGTAACCTCCCCAATGACATGGAAAAACTGAGCAGCCATTCACTCAATCATGGAAAATTTAAGACCCAAGGCGCGTCCTTCCCAGCTCGGTTACTGAGATGCTCAGCAGCCCTCGGTGCTAGTAAGAAGGGCACACTGGGGCGAAATGCCACTCGATGAACAGGAGCCCTAACATGAAGTCCTCGGACCCTTGCACAGGTAGAATTCAGGGGTCCATAAATTTAACCCGGGAAAAAAATGACATCTTTATTTGCACTAACTTCTCTTTTTTTTTTTTTTTTTTTGAGACAGTTTCACTCTTTGCCCAGGCCAGAGTGCAATGGCACGATCTCAGCTCATTGCAACCTCCACCTCCCAGGTTCAAGTGATTCTCCTGCCTCAGCCTCCCAAGTAGCTGGGATTACAGGTGCGTGCTACCACACCTGGCTAATTTTTGTATTTTTAGTAGAGATGGGGTTTCATCATGTTGGCCAGGCTGGTCTCGAAGTCCTGACCTCAGGTGATCCACCCATCTCAGCTTCCCAAAGTGCTGGGATTACAGACATGAGCCACCGTGCCTGGCTTTGCACTAACTTCTGATCAAATGGCAACATTGTCTTCTATTAGGAATGTAAGTGACAAACTGCCGTGGTATCAGCAGTACCTGTGACTTTGGCACCCATACAAATCACAGATGTGTGTGTATCACCATCAATTGCTGCAGATATATCAAAATATTGTTGTGCTCCTTACTCCTTGGAAGTTACAGTAGTAGATAGACCAGGGTTAGATCTTGCTACTTAGTGGATAATAAATAAGCTTACCTGTTACTATTTTACAACGTTGGTTTTTAATATTTCAGTATCGTTATTACCGTCTAAGTGATTTCCTTGGCAATCAGGTCAGGAGTTCGACACCAGCCTGGCCAACATGGTGAAACCCCTGCCACTACTAAAAATACAAAAATTAGCTGGGCATGGTGGCACATGCCTGTAATCCCAGCTACCCAGGAGGCTGAGGCAGGAGAATCACTTGAACCTGGGAGACGGAGGTTGCAGTGAGCCAAAATCACACCATCGCGCTCCAGCCTGGGAGACAGAGCAAGACTTTGTCAAAAAAAAAAAAAGAAAAAAAAAAGGAAGGAGAGGAGAAAAGAAAAGAAGAAAGAAAAGCACGATTCTAAAAAGTTCTATCAAATTGCCCAAGGGATTTATGGTCTGTACCTGGGAAACTTTGAGGTGAGGCCTCTACTCTGTTTTTTGTTTTGTTTTGTTTTTGAGACGGAGTCTCACACTGTTGCCCAGGGTGGAGTGCAGTGGTGCAATCTCTGCTCACTGCAACCTCTGCCTCCTGGGTTCAAGCAGTTCTCCTGCCTCAGCCTCCCAAGTAGCTGGGATTACAGGCGCCTGCTGCCACACCCAGCTAATGTTTTGTGTTTTTAGTGGAGACAGGATTTCACTATGTTGGCCAGGCTGGTCTTGAACCCCTGACCTCGTGATCCACCCACCTCGGCCTCCCAAAGTGCTAGAATTACAGGCGTGAGCCACCGCGCCCGGCTAGGCCTCTACTCTGGAAGTTTGCAGCAAAATTAGGGAACAAGACAAATGTATTCATCAATATGTAAAATGCAATCATAAATGTCAAACAGGCCATGTGCGGTGGCTCACACCTGTAATCCCAGCACTTTGGGAGGCTGAGGCAGGTGGATTACTTGAGCCCAGGAGTTTGAAACCAGCCTGGGCAACGTGACAAGATCCCGTCTCTACAAAAAGTACAAACATTAGCTGGACATGGTGGTGCATGCCTGTAGTCCCAGGTACTCGGGAAGCTGAGGTGGGAGGATCGCTTGAGCCCGGGAAGTGGAGGCTGCAGTGAGCTGAGATCATGCCACTGCATTCCAGCCTGGGGGACAGAGCAAAACCCTGTCTCAACAAAAACAAAACAAACAAACAAAAAAAGTCAAAGAAAGAGTGAGCTCTTTCAAGACAGGGACTGCATTTTTTAAAAAAAACTCTTGTATCCATAGTACCCCAAACTGCCAACAATCAATAGCAGTATGTTGCCAAAAAGTAATGCCAAATGCATCTCAAATCATCTCAATTTATACTTCTGGCTACTTACAAGCTGAGTGATCTTGAGAGAGTGACAATTACCTTGGCATGCCTCGATTTCCTCATCTGGAAGATGGGCTTAACAAAATCTCTTTCTCAACATTGTCGACACAATCAAATGAGATCAAGGGTGTGAACTCGCCTAGCATAGTCCTGGGCTCTGCACGGGTGCACAGCCAAGGTCAGCTCAGTCTGATGGTGGACTTGCGTTTGGTTTTGTCTTCCTGGAGACCAGAGGCTATTTTCTCAGTTCTTTGGGAAGTGGGGAAATGGGGGTGAGATTTTTGCTTGTTATTATTATTTTTTATTTTTATTTTTATTTTTGAGATGGAGTCTCACTCCGTTGCCCAGGCTGGAGTGCAGTGGTGCAATGTTGGCTCACTGCAACCTCCACCTCCTGGGTTCAGGCAATTCTCCTGCCTCAGCCTCTCGAGTAGCTGGGATTACAGGCATGCGCCACCATACCTGGCTATTTTTTTTGTATTTTTAGTAGAGGTAAGGTTTCACCATGTTGGCCAGGCTGGTCTCAAACTCCTGACCTCAGGTGATCCTCCCACCTCAGCCTCCCAAAGTGCTGGGATCACAGGTGTGAAGCACCATGCCCTGCCTGTTATTATTATTTTTTAAATTAAAAGTTAGATTGAACAGAAAATTGCCTTTTCTGAGACATTTCATCTGACAGGGTCTATGTTTGAGCTCACATCTTATCAAGATAATCAGAATGCCCCATGGTGTCTGGACTGCATCTCTGACCCAGTTAGTGTTCTTTCTAGCGTCTTCTGTGTTACAGACTGGTTTGGAAGAGCTCAAGTTCCCAAAATGCTCCTGTGGCCCTCAGACCTTCCTTCCCTGGGGGACCAGCCCCTAGAAACCTGCAGACTCCATCCCTGGGGTGGCAGCGAGTCACCCTGGGAGAACCTGCATCGGATTTCACCGCTGACAAATTGACCAAAGTGGGTCTGTGTGCACCTTTGCAGGCCCCTCTGATAGCCCTGATCTCTGCACTACCTCTATGAAGACAGCATTGTCTCCCCTCCATTGTCACACATGGAGACCGGGCGGGGTGGGTGGAGGAAGATCTGGACGCTCAGGTCCTTGGCCACCTGCCCTGCCGCATGCCAGGGTGTGATGATCCAGGATTGGAGAATGCCTGCCTTGTCTTGCCAGAGACTGCTTCACCGCTCTCTCGCTCACACATTTGCTCGGAAGATGCCTGCGTCTGTGAGGGCTGGTGAAGACCTGGAACAGCCTTTGAAGGTATCCAGCCAACTGAATTTAATTAAACTGCAGTTCCAGAAGCCAGCAGCATTTTCTTAAGAAAGCAATACAACTTCTAAAAGTCCCCCGATGCTCCCGTGCCGCCCATTTCCTGTGCTTCAGACTACGTCATAAAACTGTCCATGGGGCAGTTTCCTTTGATGATGGATCCAGTTGACAAGTTTTTTTTTTTTTTAGCAAGCATCACAGCCTCTTCTTTCTTAAGTGAGGAATGCCACATTTGTTCTTGCTTCCCCAAGCTGAAGTTATGGGACCTTGATCTTTTCTATGTGGTTTCTTGGATGGCTCATCTTGGAGAGTCACGCTTTCACCAGCCCGAGATCAGGGTAGCATCACAGCAGGAGCCAAATGTTGATTGCATTACTGCACTAAGTAAGATAAAGTGGTGGCCGAGGAATACTTCTGCTTCCAAACATGCCTTTCAGTCATTCAGTCTGCAATTATTGAACCCTTAATACGTGCTAGGGGCTAGGGATAGAATGGTGAACAGGACACCGTAGCTACAATCTTTACCATGTTTTCTATGATCAAGGGAGAGATAGATAATAAATACATAAGCAAATTAAGACATAAAACAGTTACAGATTGTTATACGTGCTAAAAAGAAACAGATGGCTAGAGAATAGTGGAGGGATATTCTTAGATAAAGTCAAAGAAGATCTCTCTGAGAAAGTGACATTCAAGATGAGAGCTGAAGGATGAGACGGAGCCAGCCCTGGGAACAGCCAGGGCTAGAATCTTCCAAGGCAGGAGGAACAGCAAGTGCAAAGGCCCTGGGGAGGGGAAAGCTTGGCAAGCGCTAGGAACTGACAGAAGGTCAGGGTTGCTGGAGTGTAATGAACAAGAAAGGCAGTGGCAAGAGAGAGGAGAGACAGAGAGGCATGGAGGGGTCCCTGCTGAGCCACAGAGATCGCTATGAAGAGTGTGGATTTTGGCCAGGTGCGGTGGCTCATGCCTGTAATCCCAGCGCTTTGGGAGGCCGAGGTGGACAGATCACTTGAGGTCAGGAGTTCGAGACCATCCTGGCCAACTTGGTGAAACCCCGTCTCTAGTATAAATCAAAAAATTAGCTTGGCGCGGTGGTGGTGACCTGTAATCCCAGGTACTTGGGAGGCTGAGGCAGGAGAATTGCTTGAACCTGGGAGGCAGACGTGGCAGGGAGCCGAGATGCCACTGTACTCCAGCCTGGGCAACAGAGTGAAACTCCATCTCAAAATAAATAAATAAATAAATAAGAGTGTGGATTTTACTCTAGGTCGGGGGGAAGGGGAACTGAAATTCACATAGGAACCACCTATGAATCACCTCCACCTATGAAGCTGTGGAATGAATAAATGATTTAGAAATAGTCTTCCATTTGCAAGCTTAGGCATCCAAGTCTTCGGCAATTGCATCCCTCTCTGATCCCCCTCCAGGACTCCTTACCTCTGTCACCCCGTGGGGCTTTTTGCATATATGCCTGTAAATGGTTATCAGAAGACCCTGGCTGAGGTCCTCTAGAGCTGCTGCACTGCCTAACTCCAGGGCGGTAGCAGTGGTCTCACTGTGTTCTCTGTCAGTGACACTCTTTGGCATGCAACATAGACTTGGATGAAATGGTGCTTCCTAGACCTGTGCAATTGGGGGTCCTGGCCTGCCTCTGATGCTCACTAATACATGACCTGAGCAAGTTGCGAGCTGCCTCTGGGTCTCTGTTTTATGGTGTATGAAAAGAGACCCTGCCACACCTACCTCCCAGGGTTGTTGAGCACTTCCAAAGAAGAATATCTCACTGCGGCCCTCGGATGTGCTTCAGGCATCAGCAGACACCCTGACATTTCATTAAAAAAGTGAGAGGTGTGTATGTGTGTGTGTGTTTGCTATGCAAGTGCATTTTCTACAAAAGAGAGGATCCAGGCCAGGTGTGGGGGCTCACGCATGTAATTCTAACACTTTGGGAGGCTGAGGCAGGAGGATCACTTGAGCCTAGGAGTTCAAGGCTAGCAGTCAGCCAAGGTGGCACCACTGCACTCCAGCCTGGGTGACAGAGCAGGACTCTGATTTTGTTTGCAGGGAGAAGAAGGTGCAAGAGAGGGGGAGGTGGGGGAGAGAGAGAGAGACAGAGAGAGAATCCAAGACTGTCTCCTCAGTTTCTCAAAGAGATCCATGATCCACCCAAGCTGAAAAGGTATTAAACACCTGGTAGTTGGAACTGCCTTGGCTCTTGAAGTTGCTCTCTTGCTCTGAAATCTGGTTCAACATTTGCATGTAGATGTTTTGTTTCCTCTCCGAAGTCTGTAAGCCGCTTTGCTTGGTGGGAGGGGGCTGCCTGCATTGGCATTGACTCTTGCCTCCCCACGTCACACCATGCTGACGCCTGGCTCCCATAAACCTGCCAAGCAGCAATCTGTCAGCCCAGGGCCAAGTCCTCCCCACTGTCCAAATTGGAGGACCCCAAGGCCCTTCCTGCTGCACCAATGGCCAAGAGTGGATGGAATGAGCGAAATCATTGTGTACTATCAGTGAGCTGGCGATTGCCTTACTCCTGCAAGGTAATAAGATGCCTTAACCCAGTTAAGAAGCTTCTGCAGGTTACCCCCAAGGAGCCATCGCTAATGCTGGAGATTGCTGGCACCATGGTAGGCCAAGGAGGAAGATGTTTCTGTTTTCAGGGAGAAGAAGATGCAAGTGCTTTTAACCTCCTCCCACCCACGCAAGGTTGACCCTGAATGGTTTATGTGTCTGTGTTACACACACATCCAGCATAGCACCCAGCACATTACAGGCACTTAACAAAAGTAGTAAATAAATAATGGTCCTTTCCAGCTCATATGCCCACCACACCCTCCAGAGATTGTAATGCAGTACACTCACCTCTCATCTAGCCGAATCTTAACTGCTTCCCCCACCTCTTCCTGACAAGTAATAAAGTTAATAATACCTTGTGTGGCTGTTGTATCTTTCTTCGCAAGAACTCCAAACACTTGGCTTCATCCTCATTTCTGAATTAGATTGAAAAGGGCTGGGGGTAAGAGGAAATCCTACTGACCCACACCCACTCCCACCTAATCGATGTTATTTCAGGGAAACTGAGGCCTAGTTAGGACAGGAAATTCTTCGTCCAGATCTGCAAGTCACAGGCAGGTGGGACTGCGAAAAAAGACCTCCCCTGCCCTATTCCCAGTCCTGAATTTAATCTGTCCTGAAACAATTGAAATCTTTTTTTGGCCCGGAGGCCAGGCAGATCTAATTCTGCTAATGTCTGATAGTCCTGCAGTTCTTGAGGTTTGGGAAAACCCCCTTGCTTGGGAAGCTACCCACGGGAAGAAGAGGTCTCTAACAGTATACAGCCAGAGACTGAGAGCTTACCTGCCACCTGGGACCACAGGGAGTGCAAATGAAGTTCCTGCCACACTCTCCAGGGGATATGAATCAGGGATTCAGGGTG
Source organism: Homo sapiens (assembly GCF_000001405.40). Taxonomy (NCBI): domain Eukaryota; kingdom Metazoa; phylum Chordata; class Mammalia; order Primates; family Hominidae; genus Homo; species Homo sapiens. Next base: position 116,517,811 of record NC_000012.12, on the reverse strand, counting down.
GGCTTGGATCTACATGACAAGCTTTGACTTGCCTACCTTCCTGGGCTTCCAGAACAAAGCCTGTGGTGGTGAAAGGCTATATACAATGAAAGAGAGAGAGAAAAAAAAAAAGCATGCCCTGGGAAACCACCTGGCCTGCTCCTGGTTCCCATTAGCTGACTAACTCAAGGAGAAAGTGAGTTAGGAGTTTTTGGGCCTCTGTTGTTTCATCAATTAAATGGGTTTAATATTAATTGCCCTGTGTGCCCCGAGAGGTGATCAGGAGCATGAAGCAAAATAACAGATGGGAAAGTGCTTTGAAAAAATATCAGGTACTCTATTGAGATAACATTGTCGTGAACTTGGCAATGCAGGCTAGGCTGTCTGAGGATCACCTGCAGAACTTCAAAGCTGAAGGGGAACTCGGGGCTCAGAGGGGCCATCATTTTCTGGAAGAGGCCAGAAGAAGGGAAGTGGGTGTGGCAGGCTGAAAAATATCCCCCCTCACCCCAAAGATATCCCAATCAAATCCCTAGAACCTGTGAATGTTATCTGGATCAAGGGTCTTTGCAGACATGATTAGATCAATTTTCTTGAGATGAGGGGATCTCCCTGGATAACCCAAGTAGGCCCTAAATGCAATCACTCATATCCTTACAAATTAGACATGCAGAGAATGGACACACAGAGAAGCAGGGAAAGCAATGTGAAGACAGATGCAGAGATTGGAGTGATGAGTCCACAAGCCAAGGAACACCCAGAACTACCAAATTGGGAGGGGGCAAATGAGGATCTTCCCCTAGAACCCTCACGTTGGTTTCAGGCTTCTGGGCTCCAGAACTGTCAGCGAATACATGTCTGTTTTTCTAAGCCACCACTTTGTGGAAATTGATTACAGCAGCATTTGGAAACTGACACCATGTGAGGTGTGCAAATTCCCACTCTGTGTTGGTAGCAGAGCTGGGCATCCTGGCTCCTCGTCCACCGTGCGTCACGTCGCCGCTCCGCCTGGCATCTGCAGGAGAGGTTAGGAAACACAGTCATCTCCAAAGCTCAGGGACAAGGGAAGATGGCAGTGGCCACTGAACCAGCTGCTTTTGGTAGCATGGGAGGAGAGGCAAAAGGGGACATTGCACATCAAGTGCTGCCTCTCACGAACCAGCCGATGCTGGAACTCACAAACTGTCCCACAGAACAAGCCTGGGATAAAGATCTAGTGTCCTGGGCCGGGCGCCGTGGCTCACACCTGTAATCCCAGCACTCTGGGAGGCTGAGGTGGGCGGATCATGAGGTCAGGAGATCGAAACCATCCTGGCTAACATGGTGAAACCCCGTCTCTACTAAAAATACAAAAAAATTAGCCGGGCATGGTGGCGGGTGCCTGCAGTCCCAGCTACTTGGGAGGCTGAGGCAGGAGAATGGCGTGAACCTGGGAGGCGGAGCTTGCAGTGGGCCGAGATCGCGCCACTGCACTCCAGCCTGGGCGACAGAGCAAGACTCCATCTCAAAAAAAAAAAAAAAAAAAAAAAAGAAATAGTGTCCTCTGCCAAAAGAGGAATAGGTCTCAGCTCCAAATTAGATACCTGGAGGTACAACTCTGTGTTTCCTTCATGCGATGAGCTGGCTCCCACGCTCCTGGGGCCTTCCACTGCAGCGCAGACCTCCCCTGGGAGAGCTGCATGGACACATGTTTTCGGAGAATGGAGACTTGGTGCTGATCTTCTGCGTGTTGTAGAGACGATGGTTTGCTGTCAGTTCCTGCCTGCCATCCAGCAAAAAAGGCTCTGATGGCTGAGTAGCTGATTGTTCTCCAAAAGGCCCATGAGAAAAGCTGCATGTTCAGAACTCCAAAGATTGATTTCTGACCCAGAGTGAATTTTCATGGAGTTATCAGAAACGAGCGCCTTGTGACTTTCAGTTCCCCAGTTAGCCAGCTGCTGATGAGGGAACTCCCTGCTGAATGTCTGGCATCTTCCAGCTTTAGTTCCCAGTTGTATCCTCACACTACAGAGAGAGAGAGAGAGAAACAGCTAGTTCTCTTTTTGTTCTTTTTTTTTTTTTTTTTGAGACAGGGTCTCTCTCTGTCACCCAGGCTGGAGTGCAGTGGCACGTTCTCGGCTCACTGCAACCTCTGCCTCCCAGGCTCAAGCAATTCTCGCTCGTGCCTTTCTGCCTCCAGAGTAGCTGAGATTACAGGTGCTCACCACCTCGCCCGGCTAATTTTTGTATTTTCAGTAGAGACAGGGTTTCACCACATTGGGTGGGCTGGTCTCGAACTCCTGGCCTCAAGTGATCCACCAGCCTTGGCCTCCCAAAGTGCTGGGATTACAGATGTGAGCCACCGCACCTGGCCAAAAAAAAAATTTAGTGTATGTATATTCAGCGTGTCTTTATTTGAATAGGTAATATATGTATATGTGGAAAAATTTCAAGCATTGCAAGAAAGTGTACAGTGAAAATAAATAAGATAAAAAAGAGCATACATCTCCTTCACTGTCTGACTCTAGGCCCCCTGAGTTCCTTCACTAGAAGAAACCACCATCACTTGCCTCTTGGATAAGCTTCCAGAAGAATTTGATGCTATAAAACATGTAATGTAAGTGCATATCCCCTTTTGTTTAACAAATGATAGCATCTTCTACATGCTGTTATGCCTCTTTGTTCTTTCTGTTTGTTAATATCTTTTGGAGACCATTTCAGAGGAGTGCAGAGAGAGCTTTCGTTTGATCTGGGCTGCATAGCATTCCAGCATATAGACGTACCATGATTTATTTAACCTGTTCTATGAGCCACTTTTATAGGGTGCTGTACATTTCCTTGTGACACAAAGGAAAGCCTACACAAGCTTTTGGAATCACACCAGTCAACGATTCAGCTAGGTACTGGAAATAAAACTGAGAACAAATATAAAGTGAGTCGAATGAAATCATGACATAATTGCAACATAATCAGCATTTGCTGAGTACCTAGTGTGGATCAGGGGCTGTCTAGGTGCTATATCATTTAACTTGAATGGCAATCCTGTGGGGAGTAGTTAACACCCATGTTTTGCTACTGAGGCTTGGACAGTTTCAGCAATTCAGCCAAGAACCAAACCTAGCATGCAAGTCCTCTGACCCCAAGTCTGAAACTCTTCCTTGTGTCAGCACGCTGCCTCCTCTAGTGCCTAATCCTTGAGTCTCACTGGGATTTAAACACAGTGTGCTAGGGCTGAAAAATGGGCAGCTCAGTTGTAGACCAGGGTGCTAATGATAACCAATCTCCTCTCCATTACAGCCCTGTCTAGATTCTTCATCCATGCAACATATACTCATTGAGTGCCTCTCATGTGCCTAGCACTGTGCTTATGCATGGGATTGAGATCAACAAGATATGCAAGATTTCTGTCCCTGTGCAATGGGGTTGAATGGTGACCCAATGCCCCCCTCCGCCACTAACTTACATACACATCTGAACACCTGGCACCTGTGAATGTGACCTCTTTTGGAAATAGGGTCTTTGCAATATAATTAAGGATCCTGAGGTGAGATCATTGTATTTGTCTGTTGTGACACTGCTATAAAGAACTGCCCAAGACTGGGTAATTCATAACGAAAAGAGGTTTAATTGACTCACAGTTCTGCGTGGCTGCGGAGGCCTCGGGAAACTTACAATCGTGGTGGAAGGGGAAGCAGGCACGTCTTACATGGCAGCAGGTGAGAGAGAGTACATAAAGGAGGAACTGTCAAACACTTATATAACCATCAGATCTTGTCAGAACTCACTCACTATCACGAGAACAGCATAAGGGAAACCACCCCTATGACCCAATCACCTGCCACCAGGTCCCTCCCTCAACACGTGGGGATTAAGGGGATTATAGTTTAAGATGAGATTTTTGCAGGGACACAGAGCCAAACCATATCAATCACCCTGGATCCCTAAATCCAATGACAAGTGCCTTTTATGAGAAAAAGATAGAGAGAGATTTGACACACCCATGTGAAGATGCAGTCAGGGATTGGAGAGAAGGAGCCACAAGCCAAGGAACATCTTGGGGCCACCAGTGGCTGGAAGAGGCAAGGAAGGATCTTCACCAAGAGCCTTCACAGGGAGCATGACCCAGCTAACTCCTTGACTTTGCACTTCTGGCCCCCAGAACTATGACAAAATAAATGTCTGTTTTTTTAAGCCACCTAGTTTGTGTTCATTTGTCATGGCAGCCTAAGGAAATGAATATACCCTGTAAAGGGATCATTTTTCTTTTCTTTTTTTGAGACAGAGTCTCACTCTGTCACCCAGGCTGGAGTGTGGTGGTGCGATCTCGGCTCACTGTAACCTCTGCCTCCCAGGTTCAAGTGATTCCCATGCCTCAGCCTCCCACGTAGCTGGGATTACAGGCATGTGCCATGACACCTGGCTAGTTTTTGTATTTTTAGTAGAGACAGGGTTTCACCATGTTGGCCAGACTGGTCTAGAACTCCTGACCTCAAGTGATCCACCCGTCTCGGCCTCCCAGTGTGCTGGGATTACAGGTATGCACTACCACGCCTGGCCTGGGATCATTATTTGAATGAAGAAAAGCGTTGGTTGCAAGATGACCCAGGTAGTGCATATGAAAATTCACTGGAGCAGACCCTCTTGTGCTGTCAGAATGATACAGGCTAGTTTCTTGCAGAAGACACTGAAACAAATACAGTGGAATCCTAAAACCCCAAACTTCCAGCTGTTTTAAAAAACAGGCAGCCGGCAAGTCAGCAGGATAATTAGACAGGCAGACCGTTAACTTGCTCCAGTCATCACCATGGAGTGTCATCAGCCCAGGTTTTTTCATTAATGTCCAAGAACTCCTGGATCCCTCTGTCTTCAACAAACACGTACAGTGTGTGTGCTCTTTGGGGGGCCCTATGCTGGGCTCTGAAGGGGGTACGACACAGCCCCAACCCTATGGGGCTCAGGATCTGGTCGGGGAGGAGTAATGTCAGCCCTGGTGGTTAGAGGTAGTGCTGACATTCACCAGGATGCACTGATACAGCGACACAGTTCCAATGGTGGAATACTTCTGTCTGTGGCACTTGGTAAATAGCTGCCTCCCTGAACCCCTAAGTGCCATCCTGCCACCTTGGCTATGCCAGCCCCCACCACCCTTCCTAAGACGCCAGGGACCTCTGCACCATTCAGCAACTAAAAGGATAATGGTGCCCTGGTACAGCAGGGAGGGGACCTCCAGGATCCTGCTTCTGTGCTGTAGCCAAGATCCATTCTGACTGATCAAATGCCCTTGTTGTACTGAGTGACACATTGATGTAGTTTGGCTGTGTCCCCACCCAAACCTCATCTTGAATTATAGCTCCCACAATTCCCATGTGTTGTGGAAGGGACCCGGTGGGAGTTAATTGAATCATGGGAGTGGATCTTTCCCATGCTGTTCTCATGATAGTGAATAAGCCTCATGAGATCTGATGGTTTTATAAAGAGGATTTTCCCTGCACAAGTTCTCTTCTCTTGTCTGCCACCATGTGAGACATGCCTTTCACCTTCCACCGTGATTATGAGGCCTCCCCAGCCATACGGAATTGCGAGTCCATTAAACCTCTTTCTTGGCCAGGTGTGGTGGCTCATGCCTGTAATCCCAGCACTTCAGGAGGCTGATGCAGGTGGATCACGAGGTCATGAGATCGAGACCAGCCTGGCTAACATGGTGAAACCCCATCTCTACTGAAAAATACAAAATATTAGACAGGTGTGGTGGCATGCACCTGTAGTCCCAGCTACTCGGGAGGCTGAGGCAGGAGAAAGGCAGGGGAATTGCTTGGACCCAGGAGGCAGAGGTTGCAGTGAGCCAAGATCGCACTATTGCACTCCAGCCTAGGCAACAGAGCGAGACTCTGTCTAAAAAAAAAAAAAAAAAACCTCTTTCTTTTGTAAATTCCTCAGTCTCAAGTATGTCTTTATCAGCAGCATGAGAACTGACTAATACTAATACACACATATTTTGAGGATCATCACTGATTGGACCTCAATGCTGAGGGGCTGGCTTTGAATCTGTGTCTTTCATCTATATAACTCTAGCTAGTCATCTGAAATTGCAAGCCTTAGGCACAAAAACATGAGTGAGGGTGGGCCCATCTACCCACATCACTCCTCCCTGCCTTAAACATAGCCTCAAAGACATCACTGGTCCCTGCAAACGGCCCCAAAAGGGTCTAGGGAGAGACCTGGGGGATCCAGACCAGCACACACAATGGTCAGGACCACCTCTGCAAGCTGCCAAATCTCAAAGAAAGGCCAAAAGCCAAGACTAGTCTGAAAACCCCACAGTATGCGTGCCCTGCTGAAAGTCAAGGGTCTGAAGCCTGGAGGCAAGGAGGCAGGGAGGGCCAGATCCTGGGGTCCAAATAAGGCCAGTTCCAGATAAGCCAGAGGTTAACCCTCAAATGCCAGCAGGGGCCAGACAGGTAAGTACATTAATGAAGTGGCTAGCCCAAGCCTGATACTGGGACAGCCTTAGCACACTTCCCAAAGCCATGTCTGTAATTTTCAATGGGATGAAGGCAATTTTTGTAGGGGCGGCTTCAGGCCCTTGGGCGTGTCAGGGAATTGGCTGCAGGTGCCGTAGAAGTGTGTTTCTATCATCCTTCTTTACCTTTCTCTGCAAGGTCAAGGGGCCAAACATGAAACCTTTCAGAGTCATTCCGAAGGGTTTTTTGAGAATCAAAGCTACCTAAGCGAGGTCCAGAGAGCAAGCCCTTTCCACAGGGGGTAAGAGGAGGCACCCCCGGGTCATTGGCATTGTTATTATTACAGAGGGTGATGAAGGATGGTGGGTCCTTGAGAGAATAAACTTTCCTAATCGTTCCTGAAACCAAAGATGGAGTGCACTGTATTGCATTATTTAACAATTGCATTGATTCATTCTGAATATTTCTGCAGACCTATTATGTGCAGGTTATTAAGGGGCTATGATGGGGAACAAATCAGAAGTGGATTCTGCCCAGCCTGGCCAACATGGTGAAACCCCGTCTCTACTAAAAATACAAAAATTAGCCAGGTGTCGTGGTGTGCACCTGTAATCCCAGCTCCTTGGGAGGCTGAGGCATGAGAATCACTTGAACCCGGAGGCAGAGGTTGCAGTGAGCCTGGATCACGCCACTGCATTCCAGCCTGAGTGACAGAGCAAGACTCTGTCTCAAAAAAAAAAAAATAATAAATAAATAAAAAGAAAAGGAAAAGAAGTGGTCTTTGTTCTTGCAGCACGTACAGTCAACTGAGCACCTACTATGTGCCAGGCCCCTTGCAAAAATGATGTCAAGTACCCCCATATCACCATGAATTTTAGTTATTGAGGGCCTGTGCTATACCAGGGATGGTCAAGGTTAAGGATATCCGTGCAAATAATAATGGCGGCAACATGAACTGATGTCTTGCTAAGTGTCATGCATGCACTGACTGTGAGTGTTATTGTAGTTAAGTTCCCAGTAACCTCTGGGAACTAAACATAGTCCAGATGAGGAAACCGAGGCACAGAGAGGTTGCGACTCCTCCCACTAGTAAGTGGCAGAGATGGGGCTTGAACTTGCCCTGATTCTAGAGCAGACACTATTAATTATGCTGCCTGCTTAGTAATTCTCAAAACGTCCCTATAAGTAGTCATGCTTAGCCCCAATTTGCAGATTAGAAACTGAGGCTCTGGAAGGTTTTTCTTGTGACGGCAACCCAGGGCGGGGACCAGAGTGAAGCCTCGGCTCAGCTGCTAAAGTTAAAGGGATACCAAAAACCCAGTAATCAAGATAAACAGTATTTAATGCAACATTTTAAAACTCACAAATTGATGCAAAATATCCACAATGAACAAGACATGAAAACTTTAAAGAAAGACAGGATCCCACCTTGTACACGAAAGTCTTCACCTGACTTGCCTCACTCTAACCCCAGTCCTGTCTTTAATTTTTTCAGTTTGTTCATCATTGATTTTGTTGGCAGTAATTTTCAGTTTTTAACAATATTGTATTAAAATTTTATTTATTTATTTATTTATTTGTTTATTTGTTTATTTTTTAGAAATGAGGTCTCACTATGTTTCCCAGGCTGTCTCAAACTCCTGGACTCAAGCCATCCTCCTACCTCGGCCTCCCAAAGTGCTGGGATTACAGGCGTGAGCTGCCACTTCCTGCCATTATTTATCTTGATTATGGACATTTTTTGTTTGCCGTTACATCTTGCACCTTGGCAAGTGCCTCACTGATCTTATCCTAGTATGGATTCTGCAGCATTAACTTCTCACAGCTATTTCATTTATTATTACTATTGTGTTTTTTGGAGACAGGGTCTTGGCTCTGGCACCCAGGCAGGAGTGCAGTGCTGCGATCATAGCTTACGGCAGCCTCTAACTCCTTGGCTCAAGTGATCCTCCTGCCTCAGCCTCACAAGTAGCTAAGACTACAAGTGTGCACCACCCCATCCGGTTTTTATTTATTTTATTTTATTATTATTAATTTTTTTTGTAGAGAGAGAGAGTCTCACTATATTGTCCAGGATGGTCTTGAACTCCTGGTCTCAAGCAATCCTCCCACCTCAGCCTCCCAAAGTGTTGGGACTACAGGGGTGAGCCAGGAGTCAGGCCCCATAGCTGTCGGGTGTTCACCCTGTACCACTCTTTCAGGTCTTCGTTGTGTCTTATCCTCCCAACAGCCCTAGGAGGCAAGGTTATCTTCCCTAAAGGTCCTGTTTTATAGAGGAGGACACGAGACAGCGGCTCAGAGTGGTGGAGAGCTTTACTTAAAATCATACAGCAGAGGGGAGGACAGTTGAACCCAGCCAGGCTTCCTGGAAGGAGGGAGGGAACTTCCCCGCGCTGGGAACAGCCCAAGCGTGGGTGGGGGACTGATGATCGCCCAGGCGTCTCCAGAATTCCTGCAGGGGGTGGGGAGGGGGGACCTGGTGACCTCTGAGTTCCCAACAACCCTCGATTCCAGTTTTCTACGATTCCATTGCTTCTTATGAAGCTGGTGACTTGGAGCCTGCCCCAGTCCCTGGGCCCCAGCCTGGACCCGGGGAGCCCCGGGGCGGGAATCAGCGGGGACCCTGCACGTCCCAGGGCAGGGGGAACGGGGAAGGTGTCCCCGCCAGCCTGGTGCGCGGAGCCTGGCTCCTCGGCGCGCCTGAGCAGCGGCCCTGGGAGGGAGAGGCGTCGCGTTGCAAGAAAGCTGTTGGTAATAAGCGGAATTGGGTTTTAATGGGGTTCGCACAGATAGAACAGAAATCAAATTAGGGCCTAATTGGCATGCAGGAGGCAGCCAGAGCCGCGGCGGCGCGGCGGGCCCGCTGGGGCCGAGCAGCGCAGCAGCCCCCCGACGCCGCGTCCCGCCTGCGGGAGGCCTGGGCGCGCTGGGACCCTCTCCGGCGGCGACGCCCAGCCCCTGCACGGCCCCGCCCCTGCGTTTCGCCCTGGAGAACCGAGGCGCAGCCTGGGGACCAGCATCCCACTACAGCCCCGCCCGGGCAGCCTGGGAGGGGCCCTTTGACCTTGACCCCGCTCCTTGAAAACGCTGGAGCCGCTGAGAGCTTGCAGAGCTTGGCGTTGGCTTGGTTTGATTTATTTTGATTTTCCCTATTGATGGCAAAGGAAAAAAAAAAAAAAAAGAATGTAGGGGAGGTGGCACAGGGAAATAAAGTGGGACAGAAGAGGAGAAAGAGTATTGGCAAAAGGAAAAGGAACCGAACACCCAGTGCGTAATAATGAGAGCGATAACAGCAATGTTGGGTGCCGACCCTGGGCCAGGTCCTGAGCTGGCAGGTTGCAGGGATTTACAGCATGACTCCTGTGAGGTTTGATACTCCTCTTTTCATCTCACACGTGACGAACTGGAAGCACAGACGTTTAGTTGTTTCCTGAGGGTCACTCAGCAAGCAAACTGTGGTGCTCACGTTGCAACCCAAGGCTGGGGACTCCAAGGGTAATACGTGTATCTGTTTCTGCCACAAGCAGGTAAAAGTTTTTTTTAATTATTTTTTGTTTTATTTTTATGTTATTTTTTTGAGACAGTGTCTCACTCTGTCGCCCAGGCTGGAGTGCAGTGGGACGATCTCAGCTCACTGCAACCTCCGCCTCTCGGGTTCAAGCAATTCTCGTGCCTCAGCCTCCCGAGTTGGGACTACAGTCACGTGCCACCACGCCCAGCTAATTTTTGTATTTTTAGTAGAGATGGGGTTTCATCATGTTGGCTAAGCTAGTCTCGAACTGCTGACCTCAAGTGATCTGCCCACTTCGGCCTCCCAAAGCGCTGGGATTACAGGCATGAACTACCACGCTTGGCCCTATTTTTAATTTATTTTTATTAGGGACGAGGTTTCGCTATGTTGCCCAGGCTGGACTCGAACTCCTGGGCTTAAGCCATCCGCCTGCCTCGCCCTCCCAAAATGCTAGGGTTACAGGCATGAACCACCACAGCTGACCTTTTTTTTTTGTTTCTTACCTACTTTTTTTTTTTTTTTTTTGAGACAGAGTCTTGCTCTATCGCCCAGGCTGGAGTGCAGTGGCGCGATCTCGGCTCACTGCAACCTCCTAAGCAATTCTCTGCCTCAGCCTCCGGAGTAGCTGGGATTACAGGCACGTGCCACCACGCCCGGCTAATTTTTTTTATTTTTAATAGAGACGGGGTTTCACCATCTTGGCCAGGCTGGTCTTGAACTCCTGACCTCGTGATCCACCCGCCTCGGCCTCCCAAAGTGCTAGGATTACAGGCGTGAGCCACCGCACCCGGCCTTTTTCTTATCTACTTTTAAGAGCACTTACAAGATTCTCATAGACTGATGGTGCCTTGGTTTTATTGTTAACAATTCGAAAAGTTTTGAGATGGCATTTCTTTCCAAGATTTTACAATTCAGACTTTTGCTGTATCAGACGAATTTTATTTTACATCTGCCCTCTTTCCCTGTAGTGTCCTTGGAAGTCTTACAACTCCACAGACCACGTACTTCCTGGGCCAAAGAGCACTCCTAGTCTTTGGGGGGATAGAAACTGAGAGAAGCAAAGAGAGACCTCCACCATTCCAAGGTGGGTGAGCCGAGCAGCAGTAGTGATGCCAGGCAGGCGAGCCCCAAAGTGCAGCTTAGCGCCTGGGTTCTTGGCTTTGCCCAGGAAAGAATTCAAGGGCAAGCCAGAGGTAGAAGGAAAACGGCTTTATTGAAGAGGCCGTGTTACAGCTCCGTGACCGCTCCCGCAGAGCAGGGCTACCCCATAGACAGAGAGTAGCAGCTCAGGGCAGTTTTGCAGTCGTATTTATACCTACTTTAAATTGCATGCAGATTAAGGGGCGGTTCATGCAGAAACTTCTCGGGAAGGGGTAGTAATCATTGGGTCGTTGCCATGGAAAGGGGCGGTAACGCCCAGGTGTTGCCATGGCAATGGTAAATTGACGTGGCACACCGGTGGGCGCGTCTGATAGAAAGCTGCTTTTGCCGGCCCTGCTTTAACTAGTCCTCAGTCTGTTCCCGTGTCCCAACCCCACCTCTGGAGTCGAATTCCGCCTCCTACCTCAGTAGGAGTAAATAACTTGGAAGGAATACTGTAGCAACTCTCCTCAAGCATCCCCTGTATAGTATGTCCGCTCCTCAAACAAGTCTTCAAGGGAGGCATTTTAATCCCCCTCTTTTTTTTTTTTTTTTTTTTTTTTTTTTTTTTTGAGACAGAGGCTTGCTCTGTTGCCAGGCTGGAGTGCAGTGGCGCCATCTCAGCTCACTGCAACCTCCGCCACCGGGGTTCAAGCGATTCTCCTGTCTCAGCCTCCGGAGTAGCTGGGACTACAGGCTGCACCACCATGCCAGGCTAATTTTTTTAATTTTTTAGTAGAGACGGGGTTTCACCATGTTGGCCAGGCCAGTCTCAAACTCCTGGTCTCAAGTGAGCTGCCCACCTCTGTCTCCCAAAGTGCTGGGATTACAGGCATGAGCCACCAAGCCCGGCCTTTAATTCCCATTTTTAAGGCTCAGAGAGGTACAGTGACCTACCCAAGGTCACACAGTGAGTCCATGGTAGAACTGGTATCTGAACTCAGGTATGTCTGACCCCAGATCCCATGTTATTTTCCTGGCACTTTGCACATGGTGCTAAACAGTGATGACATCATCTCTTTCGGAAAGCACCAAGGATTAGCGTGGTGTGTTCTCTCAGCAGTTGGGAAATAGGATGTGCTGCTTCCATCCATGCTACAAACCCATCTTTGTCATCTTTTGGATACAACCAGAGTGAAGGAAACTTGGAATATCAGTTTCTGACAATTTCAAGCCTGATCTGTCTCCAAATGGAATCAGACATTTCTTGGTGGCAGCTGGCTGAGAACATTCCAGGGCAGCATTTTCCAATGCATATTACAGGAACATGTTCAGAATTGTTCATGAGATCATAGGCTCTGTGAACAAATGAACTGGGGAAATTTGGGAGGGATCAACCAAGTCAAACCTGCTTCTTTACAGCAGGACTTTTCAGAGCCTTTAATGTGTTCACAGGCATGGGAATCTCCAAGAGGATCAGTAGCAAAAAGCATTTTCCAAATAGAATTATGCATGGAATGCTTTCATAGAACACTGTGCAGGCAGGCATGACAGTACACACTTCGGGAAACATGACCAAGTGTGTTCCGAACTCAGCCCTTTAGAGTTCCAAATTGGTTGGGAGGTGGAACCTGCCCTCTGCATTAATCCTACTGTCTTCTTCCCTTAGGTGGGACATGTTAAAGTCCTGTTCGTGGAGAAAAGCTTTCGTGGTTGAATGAGAGAGTTGCAATTGTATCTATTTCTCTAGAGCATTGCCAGTTGCACTTTTCAATAAAAAATCTTCACATTTATGTCCTTATGGCTGTCCAGAGCATCATAGGGTATCTGAAGACTTACAGGCAAGTGAAATTATACTCAGAGATGCATGCAGCATGTTTAGCATTCAGCAAATCGTGGAGTTAGTGTTGGGGCTAGTGTTATTGATATCGTCATTAGACCCAGTTCCTGCCCTTGTGGAGTCCACAGTCTGGTCGAAAGAATAAAACACAGACCCTGCCACTACATTAAAAAAAAAAATTAGCTGGACAAGGTTAAAATGGCCAGGTATGGTTAAAATTGCCAAGCGTGGTGGTGTGTCCCTATAGTCCCAGCTAGTCGGCAGGCTGAGGCGGGAGGATTGCTTGACCCCAGGAGGTCAAGGCTGCAGTGAGCTATGATCACTCCACTGCATTCCAGCCTGGGCAACAGAGCAAGACCTCATCTCTTAAAAGAATAAAATAAAATACACACACCCAACATGATAACTAACAGAGCAGCTTGGTACATCTGCAACAAAGTCCAACTGCAAATATTTTGGAAGTATAGCTATTCTATTCCCCCAAGCACATTAAAAAATCTTTATTAGATTTTTAATTACAAAATTAATACAATGCCCATTGTTAAAAATAAGAAAAAAAACACTTTAGAAAGTAGAAAATAGAAAGCCAAAAGTTTCTCTCTTCATGCTTCAACTCCACCATCCCTAGAGGTAATCAACGTTAATGTGGTGTGGACCCTGCCAGACGTTTTTATGCATAAACAAACATGTAAATAAGGGATTTTCTTTTTACCAAAAAGTGGGTCATAAGATATACACTGCTTGTAACCTACTTTTTTCACTTAACTATACACTGCGGATCTCTTCTTTCAAATATGCCCAGATCAATCTCTCTTCCTACTCCCAGCTGACCCCATAAACCACAGACCCATCCCTTGGGCATAGGATAACTGGCCTGCTTTGTGAACCCCTGAGGAGGGAAAAGCTGTGAGAGCTGGCTCATCTGTTAAACATCTACTGTATGCCAAATGCATGTTCTTGGGGATTGAGACAGATGGAAAAGTGTTCAGATGGAGGGAACAGCATATGCAAAAGTATACAGGTGGGGCTGGGCGAGGTGGCTCACGCCTGTAATCCCAGCATTTTGGGAGGTCCAGGCGGGCAGATCACTTGAGGTCAGGAGTTCAAGATCAGCCTGGTCAACATGGTGAAACCCCGTCTCTACTAAAAATATAAAAATTAGTTGGCCTTGGTGGCGTGTGCCTGTAATCCCAGCTACTTGGGAGGCTGAGGCAGGAGAGTCGCTTGAGCCCAGGAGGTGGAGGCTGCAGTGAGCTGAGATCCATTCAGTGCACTCCAGCCTGGGCAACAGAGTGAGACTCTGTCTCAAAAAAAAAAAAAAAAAAAGAAGTGTACAGGTGGGAAGTTAGGTGAGCAAATCCCCGTAGTATGGGAAACGTACTTCTTTCTTTTCAATGCCTGAAGGCCATCGCATTCCGTGCATGTACCACGATTTATTTGCCCAGTCTCTTTCATTTTGAAATGCTTTTTATGAGAGATTGGAATGTCGCTAGCTTGGTGTGGTCAGAGGCTAAGCACCTAGAGGGCAGTGGGTCAGGTCTCTTTAGGTTTTATCCAGCGTCCCACGCCCTGTGTACACCATGACTATCACATTTATCAGCTAATTTCATGATTGTTTCCCAAGGCGCTTTGAACTGGAATCACCTGAGGTGACACTCTTTAACTTAGAAGCACACAGTCAAATGGCTAAACTTGGCGACACAAATGAGTGACTTGAGCATGTCACCAGCCACTTGTCACATTCACTCACACGCTCAAGGGGTCAGTTGTACTGCAGTAAGCTGGTTAACTAGCATTTGTCAGGCTCTCATGAATTGCTGAAATACAGCAATGGTGGCAGTAGGAGGGATCTAATTGCAAGGGCAAATATTTGTTCCTGTGGACAAGGAAATACGGAAGAGGGGCCCCTTTAGGAGTTTCCCAGGAGGCGTGGTGGCTCACGCCTACAATCCCAGCATTCTGGGAGGCTGAGGCGGGTGGATCATCTAAGGTCAGGAGTTCGAGACCAGCCTGGCCAACATGGCAAAATCCCATCTCTACCAAAAATACAAGAATTATCCAAGCGTGGTGGTGCATGCCTGTAATCCCAGTGACTGGGGAGGCTGAGGCAGGACAATCGCTTGAACTGCAGAGGTTGCAGTGAGCCAAGATCGTGCCACCGCACTCCAGCTTCGGGGACAGAGTGAAAGTCCATCTCAAAAAAAAAAAAAAAAAAAAAAAAAGTTTCCCAGGGAGGCAGTGAGGAATTAGAAAGCCATCGTAATCCATCATAGTTAGTCTTCAAAATGAAACTTGATTGGCCGAAATCAGACACTCAGCCTGTCTGAATGCTCTGATACTATGGACTTGACAAGTCAGGTCTTCCCCGAGTTCCAGCACTTCAGTTCCCCACGAGGAGGCCCAGAGACTAATAAAGCCCAAATAGTTAAAATCTCCAGAATCAGCAAATCCACACAGAAGACCTTACATCATCCGGCTCTGCGGGCTTCAGCTTCAGTGGCCGGTGTGGAGCGCTTTTCAATTGTCTCCATTCAGTTCCTCAAGTGGATCTCGTATGCCGAATGAGATCTTTATCATTTGTCACAGGGGTGATGCATGCTGGGCCTGCTACCGTGGAGTCAGTCCTGGCTGCATAAAGACATCAGCAGCTCGACAAGGCTCTCTCAGCCCCTGCCCTGTGCTGCTGTCTGGGCTGAGGATGCCAGAGCTCCCATGTCATTCACCTGTCCTGGAATGGGGCTGCCTCTTTTCTCATTTTAGCTACGCCCCTCCCAGTGTCAAAGTCAGAACCTCAGAGAAGCGATTTGGTCAGACTGGGTTCATCACAATTCAGCAAGTGGTTATTGATAGGTAGTGGACAGATCCGTGGGTCTGGGGGCTGGTCTCAGCTCTGCCACTTGCTGCCAAGTGCCCTCGGGCACATCGTTAGAGCTCTCCAATAGAAATGGAAATGAGAAAACCTCCCAGGATTCTTGAGAGGATGAAATGAACTAGAGAAAGCAGAGACCTAGGCAAGTCCATGACCGGTTCAGAATAGCATGTCCTGTCTCTAGCAAAATCCACACTATTAAGACATTTGACACAGGCCAGGCATGGTGGCTCACACCTGTAATCACAACAATTTGGGAAGCTGAGGTGGGAGGATGGTTTGAAGCAAGGAGTTCAGAACCAGCCTGGGCAATATAGCAAGACCCATTCTCTACCAAAAAAAAAAAAAATACAAAAAATAAAATTAGCTGGGTGTGGTGGCTCAAGCCTGTAATCCCAGCCCTTTGGGAGGCTGAGGTGGGAGGATGGTTTGAAGCAAGGAGTTCAAGACAAGCCTGGGCAACATAGCAAGAACCCATCTCTACAAAAAATTACAAAAAAATAAAATTAGCTGGGCATGGTGGTGAACACCTGTATTCCTGGCTACTTGGGAGGCTGAAACAGGAGGATCACTTGATCCCAGGAGTTTGAGGCTGCAGTGAGCTATGATCATGCTACTGCACTCCAGCTTGGGTGAAAAAGTGAGACCCTCTTTTGAAAAACAAACAAACAAAAAAAGACTTGTGACATAATATAGCAGTATTGATAAAAATACTTATGGACACAACAATTTGAATGTATGAAAAACCACTTGAACTATACACTTAAAATGGTTAAAATGTAAATTTTATGAGGTATTTTATACCTTTTATTTATTAAGAGACAGTCCCTCTATATTGCCCAGGCTAAACTCAAAGTCTTGAGCTCAAGCTATATTTCTGCCTCAGCCTCCTGAGTAGCTGGGACAATAGTTATGTGCCATCTTGCCTGGCATACACCATGATTTTTAAAAAGAACAATCACTTACTGAACAGTTATTACTTATGATTTTTGTTTTTGTTTTTGTTTTTTTTGAGACATGGTCTCACTCTGTCACCTAGGCTGGAGTGCAGTGGTGCGATCTTGGCTCACTGCGACCTCTGCTTCCTGGGTTCAAGCAATCCTCCTGCCTCAGCCTCCTAAACGGCTGGGAGTACAGGCACCCAACACCACATCTGGCTAATTTTTGTATTTTTGGTAAAGATAGGGTTTTGCCATGTTGGCCAGGCTGGTCTTGAATTCCTGACCTCAAGTGATCCACCTACCTTGGCCTCCCAAAATGCTGGAATTACAGGTGTCAGCCACCATGCCTGGCCCAATTATTACTTTTTTTTTTTTTTTTGATGGCGTCTTGCTCTGTCACCCAGGATGGAGTCTGGTGGTGTGATCTCGACTCACTGCAACCTCCACTTCCCAGGTTCAAGTAATTCTCCTGCCTCAGCCTCCCTAGTAGCTGGGACTACAGGCGTGCGCCATCACGCCCGGCAAATTTTTTGTATTTTTAGTAGAGACAGGGTTTCACCATGTTGGCCAGGCTGGTCTTGAACTCCGGAGCTCAGGCAATCCACCGACCTCAGCCTCCCAAAGTGCTGGGATTACAGGCATGAGCCACCGCACCTGGCCCAATTATTACTTTTAAATGGCAAAAACCGCAATTACTTTTGCACCAACCTAATACTCTGTGCTAGGTGTTTCACCTGTATTTAATCCTCCAAGAACTCCATCAGGTGGAAGACATTATGTCCAATTTAAAGATGAGGAAATGATTCCCAAGCAGCCACCCAAACTGGCAAGCAGCAGAGTTGGGGTTCAAACTATGTCCATCCGACTCCTAAATCCACACTTTAACCTTGACATTTTAATGTCTTTTTTGCCAAAAGGTGGTATTGTTGGGTTCCTATTCAGTCCATCAGAGAAGCAGCTCCATTCATACATGCAGTCATCTGACTTCAGTGAGTACCTGATCGGTGCCAGGGACTACGTTAGCTTCGAAGGAGACAAAGATGAATGACACCCTAAGGGTACTCCTATCATAGGCTAAGGCAGCAAACAGGCAGGGGAATAAACACAATAATGAGTCCTTTAGGAGCCGAGAGAGTTGTAAACAGAGAACCAGGAGGAGGGAAGTCTTCACAAAGAAAGGAACATCTGAGTTGAATTTTGTTTTATGTTGTTTTTTGTTTCGAGACAGAGTCTCCCTCTATCATCCAGGTTGAGTGCAGTGGCGTGATCTTGGCTCACTGCAACCTCCCTGGTTCAAGCAATTCTCCTGCTTCAGCCTCCTGAACAGCTGGGACTACAGGTAAGCATCACCACGCCCAGCTAATATTTTTTATTTTTAGTAGAGACGAGGTTTCACCATGTTGGCTAGGCTGGTCTCGAACTCCTGGCCTTAAGTGATCTGCCCACCTCGGCCTCCCAAAGTGCTGGGATTACAAGTGTGAGCCACCACGCTTGGCCTCTGTGCTGAATTTTGCAGTGTGCAGACGACTTTTTCCAGGAAGCAGAAGAGAAGATGGCATTGGCAAGGGCATAGTAGCTGAAGGTGTGTGGCTAGCATGTCACCAGAGCACACACGGGCTCAGAGAAAGCAACTGAAGAATTTGCTGGAAAGATAGCCAGGGACCAACAATGTAAGCAAAGAAGGCTGGACGGTATCTTGTAAGCATTGAGAGGACTCCAGGATTTGGGAGCCAGAGGAATGACCAGAATATATTTGTAGAGCAATGAGGGAAAAGGTTCCACTTCACTTCTTTATTTTTTTGGTAAAAATAGTATAACTGAAACAACTCAAGTGTTCATCAATAGATGAATAGATACATAAAATGTGGTATATCCACATTGGATATTCTGCAATGGAATGTTATTCAGCCATAAAAAAAATGAAGTATGAGACATTCTACAACCTGGATGATCCTTGAAAACATCTGGATAAGTGAAAGAAGCCAGTCATGGTAGACCGTATATTGTATGATTTCACTTATACGAAATGCCCAGAGTAGGCGAAGCGTGGAGACTGGAAGTAATTAGTGGTTGCATGGGCTGGATAGGAGGGTAGGGGAGTGGGAGTTTCGGCTAATGGGTATACGGTTTTTTTGGGGGGTGATAAAAATGTTCTGAAATTAGGGCCCTGTGCACAACGTTGAGAATATATTAAAAACCACTGCATTGTATGCTTTAAAAGAGGGTGACCTTTATAGTGGATGAATTACATCTCAATAAAACTGTTATTAAAAGACAACGGTAACCATATTAAGTAAAAGTTTGAAAAATACCAGTCACCCATACTCCTATGCTTCCCAACAAATTAACTATTTTCCATTTCCTGCTTTGTCCCTGCATGAATATATTTTATAAGTACAATATCAGAGGGTATCATTTTTCTACTCTTTTTTTAACTTCAAATTTCATCACAAACAATTGTCCACATTCCTGTGAGGGCTCCATAATTGTTTGCAGATCTGCGTTTTAGGAAGATGAATGAATCCATTCAACAATTATTTTTTGAGCACCTGCCAGGAGCCAGGAACTGGGCAAGTCCCAGTTCTTGGGGAAGTTATTTTCTGGTGGGGGAGAAAGACAACAAATGAGACAATAAATGAGCAAGATAATTCCAGGCTGAGTGTGGTGGCTAATACATGTAATCCTAGCACTGTAGGAGGCCAAGGAGGGAGGATCGGTTGAGGCCAGAAGTTGGAGACCAGCCTGGGCAACATGGTGCGATCCCATCTCTAAACTTTATTTATTTATTTATTTATATTTGAGACAGAGTCTCGCTCTGTTGCCTAGGCTGGGGTGCACTACAACCTCCACCTCCTGGGCTCAAGCAATTCTTCTGCCTCAGCCTCCAGAGTAGCTGGGGCTACAGGCATGTACCACGATGCCTGGCTAATTTGTATATTTTTAAGCTTTTTTTTTTTTTTTTTTTTTTTTTGAGATGCAGTCTCACTCCATCACCAGGCTGGAGTGCAGTGGCATGATCTCGGCTCACTGCAACCTCTGCTTCCTGGGTTCGAGCAATTCTCCTGTCTCAGGCTCCTGATTAACTGGGACTACAGCCATGCGCCACCACGCCCAGCTAATTTTTGTGTGTATTTTTAGTAGAGACAGGGTTTCACCATGTTGGCCAGGCTGATCTCGAACTCCTGGCCTGAAGTGGTTTGCCCGCCCCAGTCTCCCAAGGTGCTGGGATTACAGGCATGAGCCACTGAGTCCAGCCTTACATTTATTTATTTATTTAAAGAAAGGTAGTGAGGAGTATGACCTGAACAAAAATCCGCAGGGAAATGAGACAGAGAGTCACTATAAAGACTCAAGGCATGGAGAGAATGTTAGGAAAGTGGTCAGGGGTGGAGGTGACTCGAGCTGAGACTCACATGGCAAGAAGATGCCAACTATGCCAATATGTGAAGGGAGTTGTTCTAGGGAGACGATATGGCAAGTGGCAAAGGTCCTGTGGCTGCTACGAGCCTGGTGTGTTTTAGGAACAATAGGAATTTGGGTCACATAAGAAGGGCGGATTTGGGGAAGGAAGGAGAAATGTGGCTAAGGGGCCAGGTTGAATCACCCGAGGCTGCCATGAGCCACTGGCCAGCCAGCAGCAGGGACTCAGAAAGTCCCAGTTGTCATGGTCCAGCCCTTGCGTGGTTGTCAAAGGCACCTTCCGGCCTGTGCCTGGGCAAGAACCCAGAGATCCGGAACTCAGGGTTGGCCCAGGTCAGAGCCAGGGCCAGCCTCCTGCTTGGTGCTTAGCTTTTGTGGGACCCCCAGGTGATTTCCAGCACAGCCACAGGAGGCCACGCCCAGAGATATCTGGAGGCCTCCGGAGCCTGGCTACTGCGTAGGCAGGGCAGCAAGTGCCAACCTGACAGCTGAGGGCAGCCCAGCCGCGCCCTGCCGCCTCGCTGCCTGCACATCAAAGTGACAGCGTTCCTGGTGCATCCGCTTCCTCTGGCTCTGAACCCCGGGAGCTGGTGCCTTGTCCCCCAGTGCAGAGACTCTGCCATCCACCTCCCACCAGATGCTCCCACGCCTGGGCTTTGTAACTCCCTCCCTTCTCAAATCACCGGCTTACTTAGGAGACAGGCCAATCTGGGCCAGATCCCCTGTGAAACTCACAGCTCCCCTGATCTCTGCCTTGTAACATCATTTTTCAATTGAGTCTTTGGATTAATTACTTAATAGCTGTCTTCTTTTGATGGCAAGCCCCATGAAAGTAGGAACTATGGATCCATAGCATTTAGTATGGAATACAGTGCCATTCATCTAAATATAAGATAAGCCACATAGGTAGTTTATTTATTTTTAATTAAAAAAATTTTTTTTGAGACAAGACTCTCACTCTGTTGTCCAGGCTGGAGTGCAGTGGCGCAATCTTGGCTCACTGCAACCTCTGCCTCCTGTGTTCTAGTGATTCTTATGCCTCAGCCTCCAGAGTAGCCGGGATTGCAGGCACACACTACCAGGCCTGGTTAATTTTTGTATTGTTGGTAGAGATGGGGTTTTGCCATGTTGGCCAGGCCAGTCTCAAACTCCTGACCTCAAGAGATCTGCCCGCCTTGGCCTCCCAAAGTGCTAGTAGTTACAGGCATAATAATTTACAATTTTTTAAACAGCCACCTTAAAAAACAGAAAGAAACAGAAACAGAAAGGTACAGGCATGTGGTACCTCATGCCTGTAACCCCAGTGCTTTGGGAGGCTGAGGCGGGAGGATCGCTTGAGCCTACGAGTTCAAGGTTGCAGTGAGCTATGATCTCAACACCCCAGCCTGGGTGACACCCTGTCTCTTTAAAATAAAAAAAAAAAGTCAAAAGAAACAGATAAAACTAATTTACTAATTTTAGTAATATATTTTATTTAATCCAATATATCCAAAAACATTTTCATTTCCACGTGTGATCAATACAAAAATGTGAATGTGGTAGTTTACATTATTTTTTGCTCATACTAAGTCTTCAAAATCCAGTGTATATTTTATATTACAGCACATCTCAATTTGGGTCTAAATTTTCATTGGAAATATTTGATCTTTTTTTTTTTTTTTTCTGAGACAAGAATCTTGCCCTGTTGCCCAGGCTGGAGTGCAATAGCGCAATCTCGGCTCACTACAACCTCCGCCTCCTGGGTTCAAGCAATTCTTCTGCCTCAGCCTCCCAAGTAGCTGGGATTACAGGCATAAGCCACCGTGCCCGGCTGGAAATACTTGATCTTATTAGGTTTTATAAAATTTACAAGGAGGCTAAGTTATTCCAAACAGATGTCAAAGTTTTCCAACAGTTAAATGAATCAGTTTTTTAGTTTTAAATTTAAATTAAATAAAGTTGAATAAAATAAAAAATACAATTCCTCAGGCACATCAACTGTGTTTCAACTGTTCAACAGCCTATGTGGCAAGTGGCTACCACATTGGACTGCAAAGACAGAAGTGCTGCTATTTATGGAATGAATGAATGGATAAACCCCAGTTTCACCAAATACCAATTATATAGCTTGAGCCTTGGGGTGGTTTTAAATACCCACAAATTCTTTGCTACTCCTTTCTTCAAAAGAAGGAGCCTAACTCCTCTTCTCTTGAGCATGGGCCAGGCTTAATGACTCACTTCTAAGTAAAGGAATGTGGCTAGGTGACACTGTGTGACTTCCAAGGCAGGGTCACCCAGTGCCTTGTGGCTTCCTCCTTGGAGTCTTTTGGATCACTCATTCTGGGAGAAGCCAGCTGCCAGGGAATGCGGAGCCTTCGACAGCCCTGTGGGAATGTCCCTGTGGAGGAACTGAGGCCTCCAGCCAACAGCCATGTGAGTGCTTTAAGCCACTATATTTTTAGGTAGTTTGTTCTGCAGCAATAGGTGATTAAGTCAAGCCTTATCCATAAAATGGGGTGAAAAACCCTAAAAGGCTTTTGTGAGGTTGAGAGATCATATATATAGATCACTTAGCAGAGCTCCTGGCACACTAAATAATCAATGGCCACTATTACTATGCCCCCTTCTTTTCTTTTCTTTCTTTATTTTTTGAGATAGGGTCTTGCTCTGTCACACAGGCTGGAGTGCAGTGGTGCAAACATAGCTCACTGCAGCCTCAACCTCCCAGGCTCAAGTGATCCACCCACCTCAGCATCCTGAGTAGCTGGGACCACAGATGCACGCCACCACACCCAGCTAATTTTAAAATCTTTTGTAGAGACGGGGTCTTGCTATGTTGCCCAGGCTGGTCTTGAACCCCTGGGTTCAAGCAATCCACCTGTCTCGGCCTCCCAAAGTGCTGGGATTACAGGCATGAGCCACTGCAACCTCTCATTCATTCATTCATCAATTCACCCATTCATCTTAATGCTGACCAAGAGATACGTTGTATGCATCTCATTTGACTTAGGGAAAACAAAGTTAGAAATATAAATTTTATTTTCCAGGCTTCTCCTTTGTCTTCAGTTGTGCTAATCGCATTGGCTTATGGAGACCTACTCATCTATGTGTAGGTTCTAACTGGGACTGCTCTTTTCATCAAAACTTCCTGAATTAGTGGATGCATGAACTAGCAGGTCAATGGTTATTCATTGTGATGAACACGGTGATAAGCCACCTGGATCCGCCTTCAAGGAAGGACTTAGAGTTCAGCTGCTGGGAAGGTGGCTCACAGATGGCATACAGCTGTCAGCCCCCCTCAGGAATTGCCTCTGCTGTCTGCAGCCAGCTCGCACAGGCTGTACCCTTCCCAGTTCAGCCTGTATCCAGTGACTGACCCCTACAGGAATATAAAGACCTGGCCAATTTGGCCCATGGCAGGGACAACTCTGACAGGTCATCTATGCCCATGGGGCTGGCCAAGGTCTTGTGCCCACATCACAGTTCAACTTCTTAAAAATGGAAGAAGAAATATTACGGGGACGATTTGCACAAGCTAAAAATGCCACAAGCAAGAAATCACTTTTATTTTATTTTATTTTTCAACTCAACTTCATCTCCCTCATCTCACTGATGCCCAGTCCTGCTACCGCCTCCTCCTCCTTCTCCTGCTCCTCCTCCTCCTCCTTCTCTTCCTCCCTTTCACAATGTTGATCCCTTGGACCTCAAAGTCTGTCTCAGCTTCTGCTCCAGAGAACCTACCTACCCTAAAACACTGATTGAAAGGAGGCCTCCATTGGGTTTCTCCATCTCTGCACTATTGACTTTCTGGATGATTCTTTGTGATGGGGGCTGTCCTGTGCACTGTAGGATGCTGAGTAGCATCCCTCGCCTCTACCCATGAGGTGCCAGTAGGACCTGTCCCCCAGTGAGGGAGGATCTCCAGATGTTGTAATTGCACAGTCACCTGTAATTGAGAATCACTGGCTTAGAATAAAGGAAATGGGGAAACAGGGAAAAAGGATCAGTCACTAGTAAGGCACAGCCAGGTCTTGCTGAGAGTGGAAAGTATTTCAGGATTAGGCTGGGCGCGGTGGCTCACACCTGTAATCCCAGCACTTTGGAAGTCCTGTGCGGGCGAATCACCTGAGGTCAGGAGTTCAAGACTAGCCTGGCCAACATGGTGAAACCCTGTCTCTACTAAAAATACAAAAATTAGCCGAGTGGTGGCGCATGCCAATAATCCCAGCTACTCAGGAGGCTGAGACATGAGAATCGCTTGAACCCAGGAGGCAGAGGTTGCAGTGAGCCAAGATCACGCCACTCCACTCCAGCCTAGATGACAGACTGAGACTCTGTCTCAAAAAAAATAAAGAAAGTATTTCAGGATTTACCACTCTGCAGTGCCCACTGAAGTGTTCTGCAGATAAACTGCTCTAACTACTCTCTAGCTCTACTTCTTATTTTATTTTAATTTTTGTAGAGATGGGATCTCACTGTGTTGCCCAGGCTGGTCTTGAACTTCTGGCCTCAGGCCATCTCCCCACCTCAGCCTCCCAAAGTATTGAGATTACAGGCGTGAGCCACCACACCCAGTCTCTAGACTGTTGTCTACTGCTCCCCATTCCACCAGCCAATCTATGGGCCTGAGACTGTTGCTTTGGGCTTCCAAGGCCTCATGGCTTCTGCTGACTCATGGTTTCTACTGACTGATGACTTCTGCTGACTCATGGTTTCTACTGACTGATGACTTCTGCTGACTCATGTTTTCTGCTTCCCTGACTTTTCCCTCTGTTTGTCTTTCAGCGTTTGTCCAAGCTCCCAACTCGTCTATGTTCACATCCCATAGACTTAGCCTCCCCAGAAAGAGTGTCTAGCTGGCTCTTCCAGTCACTCTACGGTGGGAGCGGGCGACTCTGCCAGGCAGCACTCTCATCCAAGACCACTATGCTTGGGCCTGTTTGCTATGGGATCCGGGTGTTGAGGTCACAACGTCACCTTTCCTGGGAAGATGCCAAAGCACTGAGTATATAATAGCCTCACCTCAGTACAGTGATGTTGGTTGAGTCCACTAATGATCATAGGCCTTGGTTTCTTTGTC
Organism: Homo sapiens; assembly: GCF_000001405.40. Lineage (NCBI taxonomy): Eukaryota > Metazoa > Chordata > Mammalia > Primates > Hominidae > Homo > Homo sapiens. Next base: position 116,492,672 of record NC_000012.12, on the reverse strand, counting down.
TGTTAAATGAGGATAAGAGAACTTGCACCATCCAACCAGGGAGCTATGTGCATCCAATGAGGTGACCCATAGAAAAGCTCTTTTTTTTTTTTTTTTTTTGAGACAGAGTCTTGCTCTCTCACACAGGCTGGAGTGCAGTGGCACGATCTTGGCTCACTGCAACCTCTGCCTCCCGGGTTCAAGCAATTCTCCTGCCTCAGCCTCCCAAGCAGCTGGGACTACAGGCATGTGCCACCACACCTGGCTAATTTTTGTATTTTTTGGTAGAGATGGGGTTTTGCCATATTGGCCAGGCTGGTCTCGAACTCCTGACCTCAAGTGATCGGCACTACCTCGGCCTCCCAAAGGGCTGGGATTACAGGCGTGAGCCACCACTCCCGGCTGAGAAGCTCTTTTCAACTTAAATGTCTCATTTAAATATCGGCTGGGCATGGTGGCTCACACCTGTAATTCCAGCCCTTTGAGAGGCTGAGACGGGTGGATCACTTGAGGTCAGGAGTTCGAGACCCACCTGGCCATCATGGCAAAACCCCATCTGTACTAAAAGTACAAAAAATTAGTCAGGCCTGGTGCCACGTGCCTGTAGTCCCAGCTACTCAGAAAGCTAAGGCAGGAGAATTGCTTGCACCTGCGAACCAGAGGTTGCAGTGAGCCAAGATTGCTCCACTGCACTCCAGCCTGGGTGACAGAGTGAGACTCTTTCTGAAAAACAAATAAATAAATATTATTGCTGTGGTGAAACAACTTCCTGTGTATATGAAGTAGAAAAATACAATCATAGTAATGGTAATCAGGGCTGTCCTATTCCAAGTCTTCACAAAGACTCAGCACACTGGGGCCCTTCTAAACATCAGTGAGATGAGGGAGATGAAGTTGAGTTGAAAAAAAATAAAATAAAAGTGATTTCTTGCTTGTGGCATTTTTAGCTTGCGCATATCGTCCCTGTAATATTTCTTCTTCCTTTTTTGTTAATGGCTTGGGGGTTTGAACACTGTTTTGTTCAGCCGCACTGGGAAATGTTTAATGAATCCTTGTGAATATTCATTAAATGCTGTTAATATTTTCTGGTGGGGGAGGCCCCGCTGCCCATCCAGCGGGTCTCCGAACGGTGGTGGCAGGGGAAACAGCCCACCATTTGATTTGTGCTATTTGTTTTCCATTTCAGTTGCCCTATTTCCTGAGACCTCGGGAGGTTTGCAGGGGCCAAGGGTGGAGGCAGAGCTCGCTTCCTTTCCTTCTCTCCCTAGACTGAGGAAGGAGTTTAGAGAGTGGGGGTGTGAAGTTGAAGATGCATAAACGCTACAGCCCAGCAACCACCCTTCTTCCTATGTATCTTCAAGAAACCCTCCTGCGTGCGCAAAGAGATGCGCAGGGAATGTTCACAGTACCACTGCTTGGAATAGCAGCAAAGTGAGAAATGATACCGATGCCCATTAATGGGAGAATGGATAGATGTATAATGGTCATACTAACGGATTGCTATACGGTAGTGAAAATGGACTATCAAGCCTCTGTGTTAACACAGTTGGTATGGTTTGGCTGTGGTCCCGCCCAAATTTCATCTTGAATTGTAGCTCCCATAATCCCCACGTGTCATGGGAGGGACCTGGTGGGAGGTAATTGAATCATGGGGGTGGGTCTTTCCCGTGCTGTTCTCATGATAGTGAATAAGTCTCATGAGATCTGATGGTTTTATAAAGGGTAGTTCCCCTACTTATGTTCTCTTCTCTGCTACCGTGTAAGACGTGCCTTTGCTTCTAGTTCACCTTTTGCCATGATTCCTCAGCCATGTGGAACTGTGAGTCCATTAAACCTCTTTTTCTTTATAAATTACCCAGTCTCGGGTATGTCTGTATTAGCAGTGTGAGAACAGATGAATACTGTGGTTGAATCTGTTTTTATTGAGATAGAATGTATATGTCATAAAATTGACTTTTAAAAGTGTACAATGCTGTGGTTTTTAGTGTAGTCACAAAGTTGTGCAACCATCGCCATGATCTAATTCCAGAATATTATCACCATCCCCCAAATAAACCTTGTACTCACTGAGCAGTCACTCTCCAATCCTCCCTACCCCCAGCCCCAGGCAACCCCTAATCTACTTTCTGTCTCTATGGATTTGCCCTATTCTGAATATTTCACATAAATGGAATTGTATACTATGTGGTCTTTTGGGCCTGGCTTTGTTCACTTAGCACAATTCCAAGGTTCATCCTTGTTGTAGCATGTTTCAGTACTTCGTTCCATTTTCCGACCAAATAATATTCCACTGTATGGATAAGCCACATTTTATCCACTTATCAACTGACGGACATGTGAGTTGTTTCCGCTTTTTAAAACTATTATAAATAACACTCTGGCATCCAGCAGGGTATTTAAAGAAAACAAAAAATATAAATAACACTGCTGGGAACATTCACGTACAGGCTTTTATATATGGACATATGTTTTATTTCTCTCAGGTATATACCTAGGAGTGGATGGGTCATACAGCAATTCTGTGTTACTTTTTGAGAAACTGCCAGACTGTTTTCTGAAGCAGCTGCACCATTTTACCTTCCCATCAGCAATGTATGAGATTTCCATTTTTCCATCTCCTTGCATGGTTGAAGCTTACATACATAGTGTAGAGAAAAAAAAATCAAGTGTCAGAAGAATACGTTCAGTATGCCCTCATTTCCACAAAGCTTAGAAACATGCAAAATGATACCAGATATTGCACAGGTCTATACCAGGCACAGTTAAAGAAAGTAGTGGGGCCAGGCACGGTGGCTCATGCCTGTAATCCCAGCACTTTGGCAGGCCGATCATTTGAGCTCAGGAGTTTGAGACCAGCCTGGCCAACATGGAGAAACCATGTCTCTACTAAAAAAAATACAAAAAATTAACTGGGTGTAGTGGTGGGTGCCTGTAATCCCAGCTACTCAGGAGACTGAGGCGGGAGAATCGCTTGAACCCAGGAGGCAGTGGTTGCAGTAAGCTGAGATCGCACCACTGCCCTCCAGCCTGGGTGACAGAGAGAGGTGCTGTCTCAAAAAAAAAAAAAAAAAAAAAACTTGTGGGAATGAAAAACATCCAAATATGGGTCGTGGTTCCCACTGCGGGTGAGAAGAACAATATGATCAGAGTATATGAAGATCTAGAGTTTCCATCACATGGGTATTATTTTATTTCTTAAGCGAGGTGGTGGGTCAAAGGAGTTTTAAAATTATTCTTTATCCCTTTTTGTGTATTTTTGGTATTTCCTAATGGATGATTACATCTAAGTTTATTTTTAGGTAGGGCATGTTTATACAGGCATATATACCTTTAAGCAGACTTATTCTGCAAGAATCTTTTGGAACTGGATGATTTCTCAGTTGAAAAGTCTTCTGAGGATTATAGGGTCTGTTGTAATCTCCTGAGCACACAATTTTTCCCTGCCCGGCCTGGCAGTGATGTGTGATGTAAAGACTATCGGCTTTGGGGATCTCTGTAAATAAAGAGGGCACAGCTGAAAGTAGCTATGGTGGTTTTAAATCCAAAAATTCATTGATACAGCTCCCTTTGTTTTATTTTTTGAGAGAGTCTCACTCTATTGCCCAGGCAGTGGTGCAATCATAGCTCACCGCAGCCTTGAACTCCTGGACTTAAGGGGTCCTCCTACCTCAGCCTCCTGAGTAGCTGGGACTACAGGTGCATGCCACCCCACTTGGCTAATTTTTTTAATGTATTTGCAGAGATGGGATCTCACTATATTGCCCAGACTGGTCTAGAACTCCTGGGCTCAAGAGATCCTCCTACCTCAGCATGGGACTGAGGACTACAGGTACGTAGCTGGAACTATAGGTGCCTGCCACCATGCCTGGCTAATTTTTATATTTTTCGTAGAAGCAGAGTCTCACTGTGTTGTCCAGACTTGTCCCAAACTCCTGGGCTCAAGTGATCCTCCCCCTGTGACCTCCTAAAGTGCTGGGATTAGAGGTGTGAGCCACCACACTAGGCCAATGTGCTTCCCTTTAAAAGGTGGAGCTTAATTTATCTCCCCTTGAGCTATGTGACTTGCTTCTAACAAACAGAATAAGATAGAAGAGACAGTGTGTGATTTCAGAGACTAGGTCATATAGAGCATGTAGCCTCTTCCTTTCTCTCACTTTTGAATCACTTTCATTCTGGAAAAAGCCAGCTGCCATGTTGTAAGGACACTCAAGCTGCTCTATGGAGAGGTCCACATGGTGAGGAACTGAGGCCTCTGGCCAACAGCCACGTGAGTGTGCCATCTTGGGAAAGGATCTGCCAGCCCCAGTCAAGCCTTCAGATACCTGCCACCCTGCCCAGCATCTTGACTGCAACCTCATGAAAGACCTTGAGCCAGAACCTTCCAGGTAAGCTGCTTCTTGATTCCTGGTTCCTGGAAACTGTGTACGATATAAATGTTTGTTGTTAGGAAGCTGTTAAGTTTGGGGGTAATTTGTTACATAGCAGTAGATAATTTAAGCAATAAGAGACCTGTGATCTCAACTGACAAGTTTCTTGAGGGAGGATATTCCAGGGTGGTTAATTCAGGGACACACTGATGTCATCAAGGCTCCATGTTCTTTCCATCTCCCTACTCTACCTTGAGCGTATTGGCTTTTGCCTTCATGCTTGTCACTTCATGATCTCAAGGTGGCTGCCACAGCTCCAGACACCACATCCTCATATAGCTGCATTGAGAGGTGAGAGGTAGAAGAAAAACACCTTTCCCACAAACCCCTCAGTAGACTTCCCGTATGTCTCATTGATCCAGGGGCATCATCTACTCTGCCCAAACCAGGCGCTACCAAGGGCAGTGAAATTGCTTTGATTGACTTGGCCTAAGGACATGTACCTGTGGTGGCCATGGAGCTGCACCGCTCAGATCTCCCTTCAAGAGAACCTGCTGTGGGGAGGGTAGGTATCTGACAGCCTATGGGTGCTGCACCATTGGATCTGCTTCATGCAGAGACTCTGCTCTCCCCAGACTGCTCCCAGACAGGAACTGTATAGTGCGGGTTCTAGAGCTGGCACTTCTTTTTCTTCTTCTTCTTCTTTTTTTTTTTTTTTTTGAGACAGAGTCTCACTCTGTCACTCAGGCTGGAGTGCAGTGGCATGATCTTGGCTCACTGCAACCTCTGCCTCCCGGGTTCAAGCAATTTTCCTGTCTCAGCCTCCCGAGTAGCTGAGGCTACAGGCATGTGCCAATATGCCTGGCTAATTTTCGTATTTTCAGTAGAGACGGGGTTTCACCATGTTGGCCAGGCTGGTTGCAAACTCCTGGCCTCAAGTGATTCACCCGCCTTGGCCTCCCAAAGTGCTGGGGTTAAAGGCGTGAGCCACCATGCCTAGAACTGGGCACTTCTGCCCAGTGTGGGACTCTAACTCCCCATCAGCCTGGCTGAGACTTTCTCAGAGCTGGGCTGCAGCCTGAACCTCTTCCAACCCAGTCCTCCTTCCTTCCCCCTCTCTTTTCCCAGGTGTCAGACCCACATCACACCCTAAAGATTTTCCCTGACCACTCCTGCTCTCTTTCTCTTATCCTTCACAGGCATCTCAGTAAATTTCTTGCACGTCTATTGTCCTCTTGGAATCTCATTCCCAGAACACTCACATTCACATGTTCCTCTGGGAGTAGGGATAAGTCTCATTCTCTATACATGGGATGGTGTATACCCAAATAAAATCAGGGGGCAGGGGTAGAGAAGAATGGCTGTTCTGTTTTTTTTTGTTTTGTTTTTTTTTTTGAGACGGAGTCTTGCTCTGTCACCCAGGCTGGAGTGCAGTGGTGCAATCTCGGCTCAATTCAAGCTCTGCCTCCCAGGTTCACACCATTCTCCTGCCTCAGCCTCCCGAGTATCTGGGACTACAGGCACGCACCACCACATCCAGCTAATTCTCTGTATTTGCCTCAGCCTCCCGAGTATCTGGGACTACAGGCACGCACCACCACATCCAGCTAATTCTCTGTATTTGCCTCAGCCTCCCGAGTATCTGGGACTACAGGCACGCACCACCACATCCAGCTAATTCTCTGTATTTGCCTCAGCCTCCTGAGTAGCTGGGACTACAGGCACGCACCACCACATCCAGCTAATTCTTTGTATTTGCCTCAGCCTCCCGAGTAGCTGGGACTACAGGCGCCCGCCAACACACCCAGCTAATTTTTTGTATTTTTAGTACAGATGGGGTTTCACCGTGTTAGCCAGGATGGTCTCAATCTCCTGACCTCATAATCCACCCACCTCGGCCTCCCAAAGTGCTGGGATTACAGGCGTGAGCCACCGCGCCTGGCCAGGAATGGCTGTTCTATAGATAACCTTCAGGGCACGTTCAATGCCTGATGGGCCTCAGCACTAAGCCCTGCTCCACCCCAGACCATTGGTGGCACCTGGAGAGTTACTGACCTCTCTGACCTCAGCCTTCTCCTCTTAAAGCTAAAACCTAGAATTGTGGTGAGATTCACTGGAAAGGGCATGTGTAAAATTCCTAGCACATAATCATAACAAGGACTGGCTGGGCACTGTGGCTCACCCTTGTAATCTCAGAGCTTTGGGAGGCCGAGATGGGAAGATCACTTGAACCCAGGAGTTGAAGACCAGCCTGTGCAATATAGCAAGACCCCCATCTCTATAAAAATTTTTTTAAAAATTAGCTGGGTTTGACAGTGCATGCCTATAGTCCCAGCTACTTGGGAGGCCAAGGTGAGAGGATGACTTGAGCCCAGGAGTTTAAGGTTGCAGTGAGCCATCGTTGCACAACTGCACTCCAGCCTGGATGAACAGCGAGATCCCATCTCAAATAACAATACTAATGATAATAATAAGGACTGCCATCTGAGTGATTCCTAATTTAAGTCACTTTACCTTGTGTAGCTCACTGAATCATCACCGTGGCCCTTTTGGGAGTGAGTGCTATTGCCTTTTTTTTTTTGAGATGGACTCCCTTTGTCGCCCAGACTGGAGTGCAGTGGCGCAATCTTGGCTCACTGCAAGCTCCGCTTCCTGGGTTCACGCCATTCTCCTGCCTCAGCCTCCCAAGTAGCTAGGACTACTGGCACCCGCCACCACGCCTGGCTAATTTTTTTTGTATTTTTAGTAGAGACGGGGTTTCACCGTGTTAGCCAGGATGGTCTCGATCTCCTGACCTCATGATCTGCCCGCCTCGGCCTCCCAAAGTGCTGGGATTACAGGCGTGAGCCACCGCGCCTGGCTTATTGCCTCTTTTTACCAAAACTGTGGCTCAGAGAGGTTAAGCAGTTTGCTAAAGTCCCACAGTGAGTAAGCGACTACGGAATAGGGATGATCCAATTATAATCCTAGCGTAGAATGATGTTGGGGCATTGGGCTATGCTGTGAACTGTAGGTGCTTGATAAATGCTGTAAAATGAGCCGCAAAAGCCCTACCCTAAAACAGAGCTGTGAAGTTCAATTTATTTAATTTATTTAACGAAAGGATCCTTTTATTACAAGAGCAGTTCAGCATGATGATTGCTAGCACTTATTAAGCACTTGCTGTGTGCCAGGCGCTTTAAATAAATTGAACTTCACGGCCATGTTTTAGGGTAGGTCTTTTGCAGTTCATTTTACAGCCCAGGAAACAGATGCACAGAGAGTAAGGGATGAAGCTGGGGCTCCAGCCAAGCAGTTTGACCTCTGAGTTGACACATAACCGTGGACTGTCTCCTGGAAAGAACCAGTGCTTCCAAAGAAAACAAAAACAAAATAAAACAATAAAAACAAGTATGGGTCTGGTTGGAATTCGAACTCTACCTCTTAGTTCTTGTGACCTTGGGCAAGTTACTTAATATTCCCCAGCCTCAGTTTCCCCAACTCTTAAGCTGGCGATCAATAACACCTACCTCAAACACAATTTTTGTGGTCAATGCTTCTGCTTGTGCAAGATTTAAATGAAAAAAAAAATCTTGAAAGCTAGGACAGTGCCTGTTACACACATAGGCTCTTAATTAATTATCACGGGATTCCTGGCGTTGTTGACATTTATCTCTGATTTTTGTCTTTACAGGAATCATAAATCCGGTTCTGATTATCGCCACACACACAGATCCTTCTCAAAGATTCAGAGTCTTATTCTTTTATCTCTTCCCTAAAATACGATCTAATTTACAAAACTTTGACTTACAACTCCGCCAGAAGCCCAGCTGGCGTGTGAAGTGATGCACTCTGCAGCCGGCAGCACTGAAAAGCACCGGCCTCCCGGGAACCCAGCAAGGACCGTGATCTTCAGTTATTTTGTGCAATAAAGAAATTTTGTAAAACGAGTAACACCAGATCGTGTATCTGTTGGGACAACCCAGATTTTCCTGCTTAAAGCAGACCCCACCCCGCCCCCCCTCCCCCGGCTTCCAATTCCCATGGGGAAGCCAACGGAATACAAAGTGCATTGCTACACCTGTGCAACTGATGACTTCTCACAGTTCAATTTTCCAGTACTCCTTAAAGCCACAGGGCTGTGGCCTTCGCTCCTCACTCAGTTTCCCCATCTGTAAAATGGGAATGAATATTTGTGCCATACGATCTTCTATGCCTTGCAAGATAAATGTACCCAGGCACGGGGAAAAGACTCAGCTCAGTAAACATTTGTAGAATCTGAATTGATTTAAGCATTCAGGTCACTCAGCCAGCACTGGCTGAGCAATTGCCATAGATCCAAAAGAAATATCAGACATGATCATTGCCATTCAGGAGAGTTCCTGTCCACTTTATCAAGGCACTTTATCACATAGAGCAGTATTTCTTAAGGCTCAGTTAAACTCGTGCCTTCTCTGTGTATAACCATTAACCATTTCATGTTCTGTTATTTGAAATCTCGAAATAAATAAAACATGACCAGGAATAAAAGAAAGCAATAAAAACAGCAAATACTCCAAGAGAAATGAAAATATATGCCCACATAAAGACTTGTAGCTGAATGCTATAGCAGCATTATTCATAATAGCCAAAAAGTGGACAAAACCCAAATGTCCATGAATATTTGAATGTATAAACACAATGTGATATATCTGCACAGTGGAATGTTATTTGGCCATAGAAGGAAGTACTGACACTAGCTACAGCATGAATGAACCTCAAAAACATTATGTTAAATGAAAGAAATTGGTCAGAAAAGACTACATATGGTAAGATGCCATTCATGCGAGAGTCCAGAGTTGAGAAATCTATAGCAGGGGTCTCCAAACCCCCAGCCATGGACTGGTATTGGTGGCCCGTTAGGAACGAGGCTGCACAGCAGGAGGTGAGCAGCGGGCAAGTGAATGAAGCTTCATCTGTATTTACAGCATGTCTCAGGACTCACAGGCTTTTTTTTTTTTTTAAATTGAGGCAGGGTCTTGTGCTGTCACCCAGGCTAGAGAGCAGTGGCACAATCATGGCTCACTGTAAACTTGAACTCCTGGGCTCAAGTGATCCTCCTGCCTCAGCCTCCTGACTAGCTAGCACTACAGGCACACACCACCATGCTCAGCATTTTTTTTTTTTTAATTTTTTTTAATTTTTGTAGAGACAAGGTCTTGGTGTGTTGCCCAGGCTGGTCTTGAGCTCACAGCCTCAAGAGATCCTCCTGTCTCAGCCTCCCGAAGTGCTAGGATTACAGGCGTGAGCCACCGCACCCCACGTACTTTAGTTTTTTGGAATGAGTCAACCAGTGGCCTAACCTGGGGTGGAGAATCCTCAGGGGTCCATTTCCAGAGCCTCCTGTCTTCAGAATTAAGCAAAAGGATTCAGCTCAGCCTAAACAACTCCATCTGGATCCTCAGCACAAATAAATTCTACCCGCTCCCGCAGAAGTTGGTCCCTGTGAGAACCCTTCCTGCAAGAACCCGTCTTGCAGGGCCAGCAGTGGAGAAAAGTCCCGCTCAGTGCTGGGGCGCAGGACCAGAGAGGAGCTTTCACCTGCGGGAGGGCTGGGTCTGAGTCGGCTTCCCCAGCCCCATCCCTAGCCTCTCTCTGCAGGAGGATATTGACCAAGTGGAAGGGATTCGAAGAAGAGCAGGACACATGAATGGGGGCCTGCAGGAGTGGGGGTGAAGGGATGGGGGACCCCGCGGAGACTAAGGGGAGGCTCGGGGAACATCAGCACCCACAGGCCAGGTGTCCCTCGGGCTGCCTGGCTTCCTCCGCAGCTCGCTGAAGCTGCTTGAATAACCGTGCTAATCTGCGCGCATCCCAATGGGAGCCCGTCAGTTCCATCTCTAATCAGGTCGCTACTCTCATTTAGAGGGTTTAATGTACCATCCTTCATAGTGGGACACGCCACTCCGACCCATGGGCTGCTAAGAGGAGCTGCTTTTCCCTCCCCTCCGCTCTTTTTCCTCTGCATCCACCCGCTCAAGAGTCTCACCTGGACATTTGGAGGGCGGTGCTGACCTCCTCCGAGACGTCGTCACCTACAGCGCCACCGCGCTGGTCCTAAGGTACAGGTCTGCCCTGCCCCAAACCCTTCAAGTCTTCAGGCCGGCCCCAAGCTACAGCTCAAGGCTCACTTTGACCTTGCGTGGCCCTGTCTCCATAGCTCATTTCCGGCATCGTCCTTTCTGGCGTCCCATAAGGTGCCCAGCATAGGACGTTTGACGGATCTCCAGCACTGCAGCTTCTCAGCCTCGGCACTGCTGACGTTTGGGGCTGGCTCATTCTTTGCAGTGGGGAGGGTGCCCTGTGCATTGCAGCGTGTCGAGCAGCATCCCCGGCCTCCACCCACTAAGTGCCAGTAGCATCTCCCTCCCCACATTGTTTTTTTGGTGGGGGTCAGGGGGTGGGATGGAGTCTCACTCTGTCGCCCAGGCTGGAGTGCAGGGGCTCTAACTCAGCTCACTGCAACCTCCCCCTCCCAGGTTCAAGCAATTCCTTCTGCCTCAGCCTCCCAAGTAGCTGGGACTGCAGGCACATGCCACCATGCCCAGCTATTTTTTTATTATTATTATTTTTAGTAGAGACAGGGTTTTGCCATGTTGGCCAGGCTGGTCTTGAACTCCTGACCTCAGGTGATCCATCCTTCTCAGCTTCCCAAAGTGCTGGGATTACAGGTGTGAGCCACCGTGCCTTGCCCCCTCCTCACATCGTAACAAAAAAATCCAGACATTGCCGCATGTCCCTTGGGGGCCAAATCACCCTCAGGTGAGAACCACTGCTCAGTGGAAGGTAGAAGTGTGCAAGAGTCAGGCCCCTCACTCTCAAGCCGGACAGACCTAGGTCCAGTTGCTAGCCTTTACCCTAACAGCTACCCATCCTTGGCCAAGTTGCGTTAAATGAGGATAAACTGGTGCCTGCCTTATAGGACAGGGTGACTGCCACACAAGAAGATCCAAGACAAATAGCTCTGTGGCCAGCACATAAACAATGCCCAGGATGATGCACTGTTTTGTTCTTTTGTTCCATCTTCCTGGTATCCCCTTTCTCCCTCCTTTCCTGGCCGGTGAGCTTTTTTTTTTTTTTTTCTTTTTTCTGGGCGTGGGGGCGGAGGGTGGGATGGAGTCTCACTCTGTCGGCCAGGCTGGCGTGCAGTGACCCGATCTCAGCTCACTGCAACCTCTGCCTCCTGGGTTCAAGCGATTCTCCTGCCTCAGCCTCCCAAGTAGCTGGGATTACAGGAGTGCACCATCATGCCCAGCTCATTTTTGTGCTTTTAGTAGAGATAGGGTTTCACCATGTTGACCAGGCTGGTCTCAAACTCCTGACCTTAAGTGATCCACCCACCACAAGTGATTCAAGGTGCTGGGATTACAAGCGTGAGCCACCCAGCCCGGCCATCTGGCCAGCGAACCTCTGTTTGTTTCTCAGGATTCAGCTTGCACATCATCTCCTCAGGAAGCTTCTCTCCACCTGTCCCAGCTCCTGGCCATGTCTCCTCTACCATTGCACTTCCCATGCTGTACTGAACTTGTGTGTTGGAGGGTCTGTCTCCTGCACCTGCCTGTGAGCCCAGAGGCAGTAGTCTTCAACGCATTCTATTCTAGATTCCAGAGCCTACATTCAAGCTCAGCCCCTGTTCAGGGTGGCAAGAGGAAGGCAGGAAGTGTGCCAGTGTAGACATGCTCTGATCTGATCTGCAGAGACAGAAAGCCATTGTGTCTGCCCTAGGTTAGGTGGGGCAGGAGGATGTAGTTACCACAAAGAGACCCAGAAGCTCATCAGCACAGAGAGAACATAATCCAAATCCTTGACCTTGTCAGTTCAAAGCTGTGATGAGGCAGACACAGTAAACTATTCCTGGCCTTGAACTCAATCTCTCTGGCCAACAGAGTCTCAGTTTTCCCATCTGTGTAATGGTGACAATACATAGTCACCTCCTGGAGTTTATTTAAGGATGGAATGGGGTGATACAGTTTGCCCATGATAAAGACACGCATCGGACAGCAAACATGCAAACCTAGAGAGAAGAAGGATTCAAAGAGCCCTTCCTTCCTTCCTTCCTTCCTTCCTTCCTTCCTTCCTTCCTTCCTTCCTTCCTTCCTTCTTTCTCTCTCTCTCTCTCTTTTTCATTTTTTGTTTGCTTGTTTGAGATGGAGTTATACTCCTTTTGCCCAGGCTGGAGTGCAATAGCATGATCTCGGCTCACTGCAACCTCTGCCTCCCAAGTACAAGTGATTCTCCTGCCTCAGCCTCCCAAGTAGCTGGGATTACAGGCACATGCCACCACACCTGTCTAATTTTGTATTTTTAGTAGAGACAGGGTTTTAGCATGTTGGCCAGGCTGGTCTCGAACTCTTGACCTCAAGTGATTCACCCGCCTCGGCCTCCCAACATGCTGGGATTACAGGTGTGAGCCACTGCGCCCAGCCTCTTTTTTTCCCTAACCAGTTTATTGAGGGGTGATTGACTTACAAAAAGCTGTACCCATTTGATGTATACATCTCGATGAGTTTGGGGATAAGTGTACACCCACGAAACCATCACTGGAGTTCATTTCTCTGTTATCAAGGACTAGCCAGTGGCAGTAGGGGTGGATGGAACTGTGTTTTCACATCAGGGAGAGTGTCCTCACCTTTGTTTGTGGTCTTAATCTGGGAGAAGGGTGGGGTGCACAGCTTATTTTTTCTATTGAGATGTACAGAAAGGTTTCCGCGTCCATGAAGGATAAACATGATAGAAAGCCACTTAAGTCGTGAAAGCCAATATCTAGCTTGGAATCCAAGAAGAATTAATTGATAACAAGGGTCATTAATCCCCAGAGCAGGATGCCACCAGCACAGATAATAGCATTTCAATTACTGGAGGGTTTCCGTCTATTAAAGCCTGCCTGTTTCTACAAGGCAGTGCTAACTAGCGCAGCCCCTAGGACACGGTCCCCCTTCCCTGCCGCCCATTGTACACAGCTCCCTTCATCCTTTGACCTCCAGAAACACTTACTGCCTATGTCCTGTCTTGTAGAGTGTGTATGTGTAGGCGTGTGTTAGGGACAAGAGAGATGGAGAGACAGAACCCCATTAGATCACAGAACTCTTAAAGCTAGAGAGCGATGTTCTATACTTTGCTTAGCTGTCTCTATTTAAATGCCTTTGTACATGTTTCTGTTACTATTACTCCTCTTACAATTAAAAATGTTTTAAAATAGCACAGTTAACACATGTTCATTGTAGAAAAAGCAGAAAAATCCTGACGAGCCACAAGAAACTAAAAAAAATCACCCATAACCCCTCTGCCCAGAAAGACTCCGTGTGCACATCTTTCCATGGTTCTTTTTGTTTGTTTTTTTTAAAAAAAAATCAGCCAAGTATTACATTCGTGCATGCAAACTGTTTAAAAAGTGTGGAATATAAGAGAGAAAGTGCTTATATTTTTCCTCCAATCCTTCACAGAGATAACCACTATTAACTGTTTAGTGTGAGTCTGTCAGAACTTGGTCCATATGAAACTCACCCAATTGTCCTATAGAACTGATGTTTATGGTTTCTTTGAATAAGCATAGAAACCGATCCTCCTAGCCTTAAAACTTGAGAAAGTTACAATTGTCTTATCAGAGTTCCTTTCTCAGGAAACCAGTCATCAGGCCTCCCAGATAGTATCAAGGAGCTAAAACTTACCAGGTCACTGCATTTGGACAATGAGATGTCAGTCCCCTCACAAGACATGATGGCCTAACTGACCACCTGCTTCCTGTTGACCTCCTCTTCCTTACACCTGTTTTCCCACACGTGGTTACATTTCTTCCCTGCTATATAAACCCCTGATTTTAGTTGGTCAAGGAGATGGATTTGAGACTGAGCTCCCATCTCCTCAGCTGCAGCACCCGATTAAAGGCTTCTTCCTTGGCAATACTCATTGTCTCAGTGATTGGCTTTCTGTGCAGCAAACAACAGGGCTTAGACCGAACCCCTCGTGTTCGATAACACATACATTGATAGACCTGTATGTGTATACAGCTATATATGTAGTATTAAAAAAAAAAAAAAGCCAGGCATGGTGGCTCATGCCTGTAATCCCAGCACTTTGGGAGGCTGAGGTGGGTGGATCACCTGAGGTCAGGAGCTCGAGCGCAGCCTGGCCAACATGGTGAAACGCCGTCTCTACTAATAGTACAAAAATTAGCCTGGTGTGGTGGCACATGCCTGTAATCCCAGCTACTCAGGAGGCTGAGGCAGGAGAATTGCTTGAACCCGGGAGGCGGAGGTTGCTGTGAGCTGAGATTGCATCACTGCACTCCAGCCTGGGCAACAAGAGTGAAACTCCATCTCCATAAAAAAAAAAAAAATAAAAATAAAAAATCCATAGACAAATTCATGCAATATGTACGTTTCTGTGATTTGGTTTTCTTTACCTATCCTAGAGAGCTGTACATATCAACTCGTTTAAATCTTCCTTATTTTCTTTGACAACTGGGTAACATTCTACTACATCAACAAATTGCAATTGGCAAGCCCACTCTTTCCTGATGGGTATTCAGGTCATTTCCAACTTATCACTAACACAAACCATACATCTTTGTCCACTTGTGCAAGTACTTTTGTGGGATAGATTCATAGAAGTGAAATTCTAGAGGCACTGTAATATGAAATTTAAATTTCGACAGAATTGTCAAATTCTAGGCTTTGCAGAGTAGCTCACGCCTGTAATCCCAGCACTTTGGGAGGCTGAGGTGGGAGGATTGCTTGAGGCCAGGAGTTTGAAACCAGCCTGGGCAACAGATGGAGACCCCATCTCTACCAAAAGATTAAAAATAATAAAATTAGCTGGGTGTGGTGATGCACACCTGTAGTTCTAGCTATTCGTGAGGCTGGGTGGGAGGATCACTTAAGCCAGGACTTCAAGGCAGCAGTGAGCCATGATGGTTCCACTGCACTCCTGCTTGGGTGACAGAATAAGACCCTTCTCTTAAAAATAAACATTTTCAGCCAGTCGCGATGGTTCACGTCTCTAATCCCAAGACTTTGGGAGGCCGAGGTGGGTGGAGGACCAGAGGTTGGGAGTTCAAGACCAGCCTGACCAACATGGGGAAACCCCATCTCTACTAAAAATACAAAATTAGCTGGCTGTGGTGGTGCAGGCCTGTAATCCCAGCTACTCGGGAGGCTGAGGCAGGAGAATCACTTGCACCCAGGAGGCAGAGGTTGTGGTCAGATGAGATCATGCCATTGCACTCCAGCCTGGGCAACAAGAGTGAAACTCCATCTCATAGATAAATAAATAAATAAATAAATGTCAAATTCCTCTCCAAAAAAGCTGTACCAAATTATACTTCTACTGGCAGTCCATGAGAAGATCTGATCCCTGTGCTATTGCCAAGAGTGGAAATGATCAATCTTTAATTTTGTGCATGTGCCCAATTTCGTGGGTGAGCGTGGTGCATCATTTTACTCTGTATTTCCCTGATTACTGCGAAGCTGAGCATCTTTTCGTGCGTTTATTGGCCATCAGCCTTCTTTCTATACATACGCACATACACACTTCTAAAATGTTTCACAAGGCTTTGTTATCATCTGCTTGTTTTCTCTACAGTACATCAAAAACGCCTTTCTATGTCAATGCACGCACACTTTTGCCTCATTCCCAATGGCTGTGTCACATGGCAGCAGCGCAAACTTCTCAATCAGTTCCTGATTGTCAGGAATTTAAGTTGCTCCCCATCTTTTGCTGTTCTTGCCAAAACTGTGGTGTCTTTATAGCTAAGTAAGATGTCGAACACTTTCGTATTTCCTTGGGATGAATTCCTAGAAGTGGAATTGCTGGTCAAAGGACATGTATTTTTTTAAGGTCATTGCTACTTATTGCCAAAATGCTCTGCAGAACAGCTGGTTGGAAGGTTTACATTCCCACCAGCAGTTCATGATAGTGTCCTTCCCTGGACATTGCCAAATGTCCACTGCAAGGACAAAACCACCCCCAACTGAGACCCACTTTCTTAGAAACAGAATGGTTTCAATGCCCAGGCAGCTGAAGATAAACATTCTTTTTACTCTCTCCTATGGTCCGACTCAGTGGTTCTCCAACCTGAATGTTCTGTGTGCAATGCCATATATATCCTACTTTATGGGCAGAGAATTTTCATCGGTAACTTGACTCCATCCACTTTTACCTTACACACTGACATGTGAACCTAACCTCTCCCTTAAATTGAACACCACTGGTCTCCCTGAAGGACCTTCAGCTTTATCACAAAGATCTTTCCAGCACAAAATCTCATGCCCAGGCTTCATCTTCAAGGCCTGCGGTGGTTACTGCCATTACTGGACACTTCCCATGGTGCCATGCCATTACACTGAATCCTCATGTTGACTGCGAGGTAGGTACTATTCCTGCCCATTTCACAGAGCAGACCCAGAGGCTCACAAAGGTTAAATAACTTGCCCTATATTTCACAGCTGGCAAATGCTGGAGCCCATTTGATGCCAAACTGTACTGTTTTTCAATAGAAAGTATGCACCAGCAGTTAAAGAGAGTGTCTGTAACTGGCTCTTTTTCACTGATTGACATTCCTATTAATACCTTTGTGATTCCAAATCAAGTAGGTGAGGATTTTAAAATACAGCCTCTGTGTGTCATCAAAGGAGGAGCAGTTGGTATAGCTTGAGCTATGGGCAGAATGTAGGCCAGGCATCAGTCTTTGGTGGTGTGGGCATGGCTGTGCCTGGAGGCTAAGCCATTAAATGACCTCTTAAAGGGCCATCCAAATCCATCCAATTCTGAGAATTGTTGGAGTAATTTCCACTGTGGGGTTCTAGTAACTATTAGACCAGTAGGGCTACCATTTAGCGTCTTGGACTGATGCTTCTCTTGTAACCTAAAGCAATGAATATGTTTTGCAATTGAGGAAACCACCCCTCCCCTTTTCTATCCCCTCCAGACTTTGGACCCTAAAAAGAGTGAAACCCTTTGAGCTCCTTGGAGGAAGGTGTGCCCACAAAGCCAAGGGTGTGATTAGATTGGCTAGAACCTTCCTGTTCCAACCAAAGGAACCAATTAGATGATCTAATGGGAAGCTTTTCTTGTCATCCTGAAATTATGTGATGCTATGAAGCTGCCCACTATTATGTATCCTTGATGATAATAATAATGTGTCCTTCCTGGATCACGTAACAAAGTATAATCAACTCTCTTGACAGCCTTGGTGTTAATGACTCTGCACCCATTTTGCTGCTAGGTAGAGTGAGGCAAACAGAGACCAGGGCACTGCCTAGCTCATCTTCCCTCAACAGAACATTTCTTTTTTTTTTTTTGAGATGGAGTTTCGCTCTTGTTCCCCAGGGTGGAGTGCAGTGGCATGATCTTGGCCCACCGCAACCTCCAAATCCCAGGTTCAAGCAATTCTCCTGCCTCAGCCTCACGAGTAACTAGGACCACAGGCGTGCAACACCATGCCTGGCTAATTTTGTATTTTTAGTAGAGATGGGATTTCATTCACCATGTTGGCCAGGCTGGTCTTGAACTCCTGACCTCAGGTAATCTGCCCACCTCAGCCTCCCAAAGTGCTGGGATTACAGGCATGAGCCACCGCACCTGGCCAGAAACAGTTCTTTAGTGGACTCAGTGAAAGCAGGAATGTTGTTTCCTATGCTGTCAATCTGAAATTCCAGCTACAGTGGAATTTCCCCAAAGTTTATTCTGGGGAACACCAGTCTCACCAGAAACTCTGTGGTTAGTTTGGAAAATTCTGCATTTCTAGTCCTCCTTCGGATTTTCTTAGGCATTAAAAGCTCTGAGAAGTCCTGCAGTCAGGCATCTTTTAAATTGTGAATAACTAAATATTTCCAAAACACATTTGACCACAGAATCTTGCTTTCATGTAGGAGTCCCCTGGGAGCCCTTGGGAAATTGTGTGTTTGGAATATTTAAATGACCTCTGCTGTTCTAAAAATATTTGCAGAGAGTTCCTTTAGTCAGGTATAGGGAAGTGAGGCCATCACTGGAGAATGGGTGTGGTGAGAAAGAGAGCAAACTTCAACTTGAAGGCCCCTAGATCCAAGGATACCCTCACCTATGTCAGGGCAGATGAAAGGAAAGGAAGGGGAAGGAAAGGAAAGGAGAGGGGAGGGGAGGGGAGGGGAGGGGAGGGGAGGGGAGGGGAAGGGAAGGGAAGGGAAGGGAAGGGAAGGGAAGGGAGGGGAGGGGAGGGGAGGGGAGGGGAGGGGAGGGGAGGGGAGGGGAGGGGAAGGGAGGGGGGTATAGAACACAGCCACCACCCAGGTGTCTCTTGTGTGTCTCTCCCAGAGGTATCACCCCATCCTGATTCTTCAGATATTTATTTCTAATTGTTTTGCCATCTATGTTTATATCTCTAAACTATTTAGTTTCATTTTTGCCTGATTTACAACTTGATGTAAATGGACTCCTGCTCATCAATTTTTCTCTTCCTTCTTTGTAGTCATCAAAATATCTGTGAAATTTGAACATGTTCTTGTCTGGAGCTGCAGCTTATTGGCTTTCATTGCTTTATTGTGCTCCACTGTAGGAACCTGCAGCCACTTATCCCATCTACTGTCAATGGACATTTGGGGCATGTCCAAGTTTTGGCAATAGTATCAGTCTGTTTGTGTTGCTGTAAAAAAATACCTGAGATCAAGTAACTTGCAAACAACAGGAATTTATTTCTCACAGTGCAGGAGGCTGGGAAGTCCAAGTACATGGCACTGGCAAGTTCGGTGTCTGGTGAGGGCCTAGTTTTTACTTGCAGGATGATGCCTTGTTGCTGTATCCTCACATGGAAGAAGGTGAAAGGGTAAAAGGGCTTACCTAGTTCCCTCCAGCTGCTCTGTAGGGTGCTATCCCATTAAAGAGGACAGAGCCTCATGGCCTAATCACCTCCTAAAAGCACCATCTCTTAACACGGTTGCACTGGGGGTTGAGTTTCAACATGAATTTTGGAGGGAACACACACATTCAAACCGTAGCAGAAATCTCAACAATGATGCATTGCTATATGTGTCTATGGGTGCACATGTGTAAGAGTTCTCCCAAACATAAACGTGGAGTGGAATTGCTGGATCATAGACTGTGTGTATCTTCAACTTTACTGGATAAGTGATTGTACACGATTTGTTCCTCCACATCCTCACTAACATTTCTTGCTATCTCTATCTTTGATGCCCCATGATCATCTGCTGTCTCCATCCTTCACCAATCTGTTCATTAATTTGCAAAGGCAAGTGAAGAAGCTTGGTATAGATGCCAGCTGGACATACAAAGGACCTTGTATTTGCAGAATCAGAATTACCAAGAGAGTGGTCCATGAATCTGTTTTTCACAACCTCCCTGATTGATTTAGATGATCAACCTTGTCTGAGGGCCACTGATCTAGAGCCTTGACACATTTTTCATAAAGTCCTGGGATGCCCTTTTTTCAAACTAAATTTTATGCAGAATGCAATATATGAAATGCATAAAATCAGAGCTGCCCTGCTTGGAACAGGAAGTAGGAGTGGAGGCTGGGCATGGTGGCTCACACCCATAATCCCAGCATTTTGGAAGGCTGAGGTAGGAGGATTGCTTGAGGCCAGAAGTTTCAGAGCAGCCCGGGCAGCGTAGCAAGACCCCATCTCTACAAAAATATTTTAAACTTAGCCTGGTGTGGTGGTGCACACCTGTAGTCTCAGCTACTTGGGAGGCTGAGGCAGGAGGGTCACTTGAGCCCAGGAGTTTGAGGCTGCAGTAAGCTATGATTGTGCCACTGCACTCCAGCCTGGGTGACAGAGCAAGACGTCATCTCTTAAAAACGATTTTTTAAAAAGAATGGAAGATCCCAGGAAACAGAATGGCTGGCTCTTCACCATACCCAGTCCTCTTTCTCCAGCAATAAAGCTGGGCTGCATTTCCCAGCCTCCTTTGCAGATAAATATAGCCACGTGACTGAGCACTACCCAATGGATAGTGGACGGAAGTGATGGCAGGGGCAGGGGGAGGCCTTTCCAGGCCTGGTTCATAAAAACCCTTTTCCACCTGCAGGCTAAATACAGAGGATGCAAAGGCTGAGTGGTGAGCAGAGCAAGCTGGAAGGGGCTGGGATCCCTAAATGACCCTATGGAAGGTTACCTGAGAAACAGGGGCACCCATTTTGGATTCCACATAGTGAGACATAAGTGGATGCTGTATTAACTCATGGATACTTGTGGGTCAGTTTGTTGCAGCAGCTGGCATTGCCTTAATGAACATAGCCCCATCTCCACTGTCTGTGCCCAGGGCATCTCCGTGGAATCTGGATCCTCCGGGAAGCCCATGCAGAAGACCACAGGTGCAATGAAAGAACATGCCGTCGTGAGACCTGGGCTCTGCAAATCCGTTCCCCCATAAGACAGGGGCAGGAGAGGACCCTACCTCCCTCAGCTCTTGTATGGATTTAATAAGATAATATATTTGGAAAGCACTCTGGTGCAGTGAAAGGCATTTCAGATGTGAGTTATATTTAGTTATTGTTACTGCATTTCTGCATATTTCTTTCACTACATCCGCAGCCAAGCCTCTCTCCAGTGGCTACTCCACAGAAACTAGAGAAGCATTAATGCAGTAAATCTAAAAACTCAGCCCCTCGCTCCTTTCTCCAGGCAGGGCTGGGCCACGGTCCCCAGAGCAGCTGACCCTGAGTATAATGCAAATACTGTGTTCCATCAGGCTATTTTGAGACAGGCAAGGAATAAGACTCCCGCTCTCCCCCATAAGAAATGTACATCATCCCGTTTTTTTTAAATTTCCTTTTGATTAAAAAGAATCAGCAGCCTATCTGAAAAATATCTGCTATCTCTCCTGTATGCTGAGAGATAAGAATTTTTTTTAACAAAGGACAAATATGCTCTCTAGCCCTTTAGTATCATAGGGACCATTTAGGACTTTTTTGTTTTATTTCGTTTTTTGAGACAGGGTCTCACTCTGTCGCCCAGGCTGGAGTGCAGCGGCACCATCGCGGCTCACTGCAGCCTCAACATCTCAGGCTCAAGCAATCCTCCCACCTCAGCCTCCCGAGTAGCTGAGATTACAGTCATGTGCCACCATGCCTGGCTAATTATTATTATTTTTTTTTTGCAGAGACAAGGTTTTGCCATGTTGCCCAGGCTGGTGTCACCCTCCTGGCCCAAGTGATCCTCCCACCTCAGCCTCCCAAAGTGCTGGGAGTATTACAGGTGTGAGCCACTGCGCCCAACCCCCATTTAGGACTTTTTGCTGTGAGAGTTGTGTGGTTTTTGTGGGGAGTGATGAGGGTATAAGAATCTGATTTTAATAGGCTGGCACTTAAAATTATCACTTGGAATGATCTTGGAATTATTTCCAGTTCTCCACACTGGAGAAAGAGTCAGGTTTAAGTTCTAAAATGTGTGATGGGTTGGGCATGGGGCCTCAAACCTGTAATCCCTGTGCTTTGGGAGGCCAAGGCAGGAAGATCTTTTGAGACCAGGAGTTTGAGACCCGCCTGGGCAACAGAGCGAGACTCCCATCTCTACAAAATTTAAAAATTAGCCTGATATGGTGGCACATGCCTGTAGTCCCAGCTCCTTGGGAGGCTGAGGCGGGAGGACAGCTTGAACTTGGGAGGTGGAGGCTGCACTCCAGCTTAGGTGACAAAGTGAGACCATGCCTCTAAAAATATTTTTTTTAAATCAATCAATCGTAAATAAAATGCATGATGCAGTTGAGAACCTTCCAATTAGCCAGTCCCTGTCTGATGGCTGAAGGGGAGAGAAGCGGGCACAGTCCTCGCGTGTCTCCTGGTCTCCAAACCCTGATCCAGACCGTTTACTTTCTCTCACTTTCCTCCTTTCACTCGCTCTGTCTCAGAGGTCTTCACACTCCCCTTCATAATAGTGGACAACCACTGTGCAGTAGGACTCAGCACCTACTAGGGCAGACAGTTTCCATCGCCATGCACACATGCAGAGCACCTACTGTGCACTGGGTGCTATGTGGGACCCAGGGCACACATCCTTATGGATGCAGCAGCCCTGCTTTCTGCTCCAAACCCCAGCAGGCCTCCATAATGCCATCAGTCACTGTCCCTGTCTCCCTTTGTCAGGCCAAAGCAGAGGGGGTCTGGGCCTGAAGTCAGAATCCCAAATGTCCAAAATAGGCATTGTTTTCCTGAGGCTGCGGCAGCACATTACCACAGATCAGGGGGCTTTAGGCAACAGAGATTCATTCTCTCAAAGTGCTGGAGGCCAGAAGTCCAAAATCAAGGTGTCCTCAGGGTCGGTTCCTTCTGGAGGCACTGAGGGAGGGTCTGTCCCGCACCTCTGTCCCAGCTCCCAGCAACTGTTGGCGTTTCTCAGCTGCCTTGTGTCACCTCACTCCAATCTCTGCCTCCCTAATCACATTGTCTTCCTCTCTTTTTGTCTCTGCGTCCTCTCCTTTTTTCATTATCATTTTAGATTCGGAGATACATGTGCAGGTTTGTTCCATGGGTGTATCGTGTGACGCTGAGGTTTGGGCTTCAACTGAACCCATCACCCAAGTAGTGACCACAGTAACTGACAGGCAGTTTTTTAACCTTTCCCTCCCTCCTTCCCTCTGTTTTTTGGAGTCCCCAGTGTCTACTGTTCCCATCTTTATGTCCACGAGTACCCATTATTCATTCCTACTTATGACTGAGAACATGCAGTATTTGGTTTTTCTGTTTCTTTGTTAATTTGCTGAGGATAATGACCTAAAGCTGCATCCATGTTGCTGCAAAGGGCATTATTTCATTCTTTTTTTTATGGCTGCGTAGTATTCCATGGTGTATATGTACCACATTTTCTTTATCCAATCATCCACTAATAGACACTTAGATTGATTCCATGTCTTTGCAATTGTGAATAGTGCTGCAATGAACATGAAATTTCAGGCATCTTTTTGTGAGAACGATTGCTTTTCCTTAGGGTAGGTACCCAGTAAGCAGATTGCTGGCTCAAATGGTAATTCTAATTCCCATTCTCTCTTCTTTGAAGGGCATCAGTCATTAGATTTAGGGCCCACTCCTGATCCAGGATGATTTTTTCTTCTAGATCCTTGGCTAATTACATCTGCAAAGACCCTGTTTCCAAATAAGGTTGCACTCTGATGTTCTGGGTGGACATGAATTTTAGGGGCACACTATTCAACCCATTACAGTCTACCTTTTTTTTTTTTGAGACAGGGTCTCACTGTCTCACCCAGGATGGAGTGCAGTTGCATGATCTCAGCTCACTGCAGCCTCCACCTCTTGGGTTCAAGCGATTCTCCTGCCTCAGCCTCCTGAGTAGCTAGGACTACAGGTGCCTGCCACCATTCCCGGCTAATTTTTGTATTTTTAGTAGAGACAGGATTTCATCATGTTGGCTAGGCTGGTCTTGAACTCCTGACCTCAAGTGATCCACCCGCCTCAGCCTCCCACAGTGCTGGGATTACAGGCGTGAGTCACCTCACCAAGCTACCTTCTGATCCCTCAAAGTTCATGTCCATCTTACATGCAAAATACATTCACCTCATCCCAATATCTGGAAATAGAAAGATGGACACTGGAAATGGGGATGATTCTAAAACCTCCCACAAACTGTTATTTGAACAAACGAAATAAGACATTAAAGGGTTGAACATAGTGCCTGATACGAAGCTGCATGAACAAAAAGTAGTCATCGAAGTATTTGCAGTTACCATGATGATACACAACTGGATGGATTTTCCCAAGACACTGCTTCCTTGTCACTTTCTTCCTTTAAAAAACTGACACCAGGACAGGCACGGTGGCTTACGCCTATAATCCCAGCACTTTGGGAGGCCAAGGCCAAGGATCACCTGAGGTCAGGAGTTCGAGACCAGCCTGGCCAACATGGCAAAACCCCATCTCTACTAAAAATACAAAAATTAGCCAGGTGTGGTGGTGGGCACCTGTAATCCCAGCTACTAGGGAGGCTGGAGAATCACTTGAACCCAGGAGGCGGAGTTTGCAGTGAGCTGAGATTGAGCCACTGCACTCCAGCCTTGGTGACAGAGTGAGACTCCATCTCAAACAAACAAACAAAGAAACAAAAACCCAACACCAGTTTCCCATTGCCTCCGGAATGAAGTCTGACCTCAGTTGGTTATTTGCTAAGGGCTTTGCAATTGGGCCTCCATCAAAATTGCATCTCCCTCACCTCTTGTCCCCAAGTCTAACTGGCATCCGAATTCCCTCTGCTCCTTTTTAATGTGTCCTGTTGGCTCGCTCCTATCAGAGTCCTCCATGTCCACTTAAAGGGGACTTCTGGAAGCCTTCTTGCCTACAGTGAGATCTGCCTCCACTGAGCTTACATCTCCCATATCGATGCTCGTCTGAGGTCATTGACTGACTTGCAGTTCTTAAGCTTCTAGAAGGCAGGATTGTATCTTCTACATGAGAGGGCCAGATGAAGCCATGAGCTCTGGTCCCAGACGTCAGCAGGCTTCAAAGCCCAGTTCTGCCCCTTAAACAAGATACTGAATGCCACTGCCTCTTAACCTCAGTTTCTTTCTTTCTTTTTTTTTTTTTTTTTTCTGGGACAGAGTCTCACTCTGTCACACAGGCTGGAGTGCAGTGGTGCAATCTCAGCATCTCAGCTCACTGCAACCTCCACCTCCTGGGCTCAAGGGATTCTCCTGTCTCAGCCTCCCTAGTAGCTGGGATTACAGGTACGCACCACCACACCCAGCTAATTTTGTATTTTTAGTAGAGATGGGGTTTCACTGTGTTAGCCAGGCTGGTCTCAAACTCCTGGCCTCAAGTGATCCACCCACCTTGGCCTCCCAAAGTGCTGGGATT
This sequence comes from Homo sapiens, assembly GCF_000001405.40. Taxonomy (NCBI): domain Eukaryota; kingdom Metazoa; phylum Chordata; class Mammalia; order Primates; family Hominidae; genus Homo; species Homo sapiens. The sequence goes on along the minus strand of NC_000012.12, from coordinate 116,467,514 downwards.
ACAAGCATGAGCCACCACACCCGGCCCCTTAGTTTCTGAATCTATAAAATAAAAGTCACTCTGTCTTCCTATTAGGGTCCCTGGAGGGCCGTGCAAAGCAACCCAGGTCAAGGGCCTAGCATTGAGCAAGTGATCAGGAAGTTTCTTTCCACATCTGGGTGTTACCTACTGCATCTGGCACCTCATGGGTGCTTGGGGGCTTTGTGAATATGTGTGGACGACGGTGAGCACTGCACAGGAGAGGACACATTCTGCCATAAGTTGGGGAATACATGAGCCAAAATAACAACAGTGATTTACTATGTATCGGGCATGGCCCTAGCACTTTCCAAGCATCATTAATTGATCCTTCCATCTTGCCAAGGAAGGTAAATCTCATACCGTGCCCAGTAGAGATCCCGCCATGGTATGGAGCTCCATCACAGCAGCCCTGGGAAAAACTGTCCTGGACAGATTGACTTGGAGCTGTCCCCCTATTTTATAGGCACCCCCTTCATCCTGCAAAGTCACTTGTTTGACCCTCACACCCCAAATTCCTTCCCTGTCCCCACGCCCAGCGCACCCCAGTGAAATGCACTTGTCACCCAGATCTCCCAGGCACCAGGGACCTGACTCAGGCAGGTAGGGGAAAAGTGGAGCAGTGAAAGTGGGCAGTGAAGGAAGAGCAACCAGAGGAACGGACGGGCATTACTCATGGGCTTAACTGGAATGTTTAGGAAGCAGATGTCATGTGTAAAAATCTCCCTAGACTCCTAGACTGGAAGGGGAGGGGGCAGGAAAGTTGAGACATGTGACCAAGCAATGCAGCACCAACAAGCGTAAATGGAGAAACAGTTCCTTCCATTCCTCTGGGGCTTTAGAGTTGCACAAAGTGCTTTCTGGTGGAGGGCAAGGGAAGTACAATGCCCTGGCCAAGTGAGCACAGAGCTTACCATCCCCTGGGTTCCAAATTTGGAGTGGGGTCAGGACTGCTTTTTAAAACAATCCCAGGCAGGTGAGGTGGCTCATGCCTGTAATCCCAGCACTTTGGGAGGATGGATGACCTGAGGTCAGCAGTTCGAGACCAGCCTGGCCAACATGGTGAAATCCCGTCTCTACTAAAAATACAAAAAATTAGCCGGCCATGGTGGTGCACGCCTATAATCCCAGCTACAGGGAAGCTGAGGCAGGAGAATCGCTTGAACCCGGGAGATGGAGGTTGCAGTGAGCTGAGATCGAACCACTGCACTCCAGCCTGGGTGACAGGATGAGACTCCATCTAAAAAAAAAAAAAAAAAATCCCAACTGTCTGCCAGGTCACAGAACCAGAGTCCTTCCTTGGGAAACACGCATTATCTTAGCAGCCTGCAGGAGACAGCCACATGCTGCCTTTGAGTTCATTAAGGTCTGATATGGGAAGTTCAGGCTGTGGTAGGCCAGTCGGGGGACTGCTGGGGCAGGTGGTGCCTTTTGCATCCTTCAGATGCAGCTTGTCCAAGGCCACCTGTGAGTCAACCTGAGCCCTGCTGATAATGGGCTCAGCCATGATTCTCAACATTAATATTTACAGCTGGCAGTGTTTGCACACCTCGCACCAAATGCCCCAAACAGCAGACCTTGTGCTATGAATGAAAGGAAAACTATCGCCTTGGATTTGAATAGTTCCCCTTTCCTGGGAAGCTCCAAAGATATGATTTAGTAAATGTTTCAACCCACTGTTCCAAGGGTATAGAAAATGCTGAAGCTAGGGTTGCTGCCTTAGTGCAGTGTAATCTGGGCAGTTTAGAGGGTTGTGGTTAAGAGCCCAGTCGCTGAGGGAACATCAATTTCAGTGCAAATCCCCTCTCTGTTCATAGAATTGCTGCTAGCCTGTAGGGTAGCATGGTGGGAATTAGGGGGGAAAAAACCCTTCTTCCAGAAGACACAGCTGACTCTAGCCTCTGCTTGCCCCATTTGACCTCGACTGAGCCTCAGTCTCCTCATCTGTGAAATGGGGATAATAATGGAACTTAGCTTATTGGCTGCTTGTGAGAATGAGATGAGATTCACATAATCATTACATCCTGCCTGCCTATCAGGAGATCAACTGCCCCGGTTTGCCCAGAACTGACAGGTGGGACTCAGGGCTTTCAGTATTAAAACCTGTGAAGACCCAGGCAAATGAGGATGAGTTGGTCACCCTACTGGCTCAAGGAGTATCCCAGAAGTCACCATAGCTCTGGGTACATTCTTTTTTTTTTTTTTGAGATGGAGTCTTGCTCTGTCACCCAGGCTGGAGTGAAGTGGTGCAATCTTGGCTCACTGCAACCTCTGCCTCCCAGGTTCAAGCGATTCTCATGCCTCAACCTCCCGAGCAGCTGGGACTACAGGCATGCGCCACCACATCCAGTTAATTTTTGTATTTTTAGTACAGATGGGGTTTCACTATGTTGGTCTCAACATAGTGATATGCCCAGGTGATATGCCCACCTTGGCCTCCCAAAGTGCTGAGATTTTAGGCATGAGCCACCGCATCTGGCCATGCTCTGGGTACATTCTGAGGTCTTAGGTGCCAGCACCCAAGAGCTCCATTGTTGGGCAAGGGCTCGACTTCCTGCATTTGGTTCATGACCCCAGAAGTGGGCAGCTGGGTCTTGGGTGTGCACTGATGCTCTTCTTTGGGGGAATCGCCAAGGGCAGGGTCTAGGTTTGTTTCACTCAGCCCACAGTAGGTGCTCCATAAAGAGTTGCTGAATTGAATTAAGGACTGTGGGTCTTGCAACACAAGTCCATCCCTCACTGTGCCTTAGCCTTACTCAGACCGTGGGCTTTTCTGCATCTTCTCAGCATTCCCCGGGGGGCCTTAGGCAAGCTTGTTAACTGCCCTGTGCCTCAGTTTCCTCACCTGAGAAAGGGAGATAAGATCTTGCTTGGAGGATGGTTACGTAGTTTGAGATTTCTCAATGTCAACTGCTGGCATAGCTCCTAGTTGGAGCTCAGTAAATCATAACCAATCTCTCCTGAATGCCAGACCTCGGGCCGCCACACTCTCTATGCACTGTCTCCTTTAGTTCTACCATAGGCTTGGATGGTAGGCAATACTACTGTCCATCATTCATAGACGAGGGCCTCAAGGCTCCAGAGAGTTAATAAGCTTGGCTAAAAAGGAGACAAGTCCATGTTGTCCAAGCACATGTATACAGCCTCTGCTGGGGGTTAGTCTCCTTTTTCTCTAAGCTGTCCAAGAAAGAACCCAGTAGATGGTTCCATTTATGTTTACAAACAATCTTCAGAATGGAGGGGCACCAACCTCCCAAGAGATCAGGTTTGGCATGGTTCAGAGATTACAGGTATCCTTATAAGGGGAAGGACATCTACCACTGTTAAGATTTTTCATGAGCAATATAGGCATGAAAAGGCTTAGGGGAGAGGAGCGCAGAAGAGAGGAAGGGAGAAGTGGAGACCGCCCCCTTTTGAAGAACTCTTAAGAAATCCAGTGGAAGTATTTCTTCCAATACCACAGCTCCTGCATCTGGACTGACCCTCATTTCTTTTTGAATGTGTCTTTATCATAGAAAACTTGCGATCACACCATCTTTTTTGAAGGCCAATGATACAACCCAGTGACCAGGTGTGAACTCTGGCATTTTGCATTAAGAGTTGCCATTACTCAATAAGGTCATCATGTAAACCAAGCCATTCCTGGATGTATAATAGATATGTTCAAAAGACATGCTCTGTCCCAGGGCTGCGCTGATGCAGATGGAAAAGGCTCCAGCTAATTTTTGTCTATGGGTGGATCCCCACCCCAGAGTGCAGCCTCACCAGCTTGGCCAAGTCTTATGCCTTCATTTGAAGTCCCCCCTCTGATCTCTACAACTCTGTGATGGTAGAACTGTTAATTTCACCTCCTTTTGACATATGAGACAACTAAAGCTCAGAGAGGTCAAGTCAGCTGCCCAAGGTCACACAGCTGGAGTAGCACAACAAGGATTTGAACCCAGATCTCCTGCCTCTAGAGTCCATGATTGTGAACACTTCACTGTGTTGCCTTCATCCATTCTATGAAGGCTTTGGACTAGGTGTGTGTGTGGGGAGGGGGTGTTGGAGTGTCTTGTCTTTTCTTAATAGACTTTATTTATTCATTCATTTTTTGAGATGGAGTCTCACTCTGTCTCGCAGGCTGGAGTGCAGTGGCTCAATCTCAGTTTACTGCAACCTCGACCTCCCAAGTTCAAGCGATTCTCCTGCCTCAGCCTCCTGAGTAGCTGGGATTACAGGCATGCACCACCACACCTGGCTAATTTTTGTATTTTTAGTAGAGACAGAGTTTCACCATGTTGCTCAGGCTGGTCTCGAACCCCTGACCTCAGATGATCCGCCCACCTCGGCCTTCCAAAGTGCTGGGATTACAGGCATGAGCCACCGCACCTGGACAATAGACTTCATTTTTAAGAGCAGTTTCAGATTTACAGAAAAACTGTGAAGACAGTACAGGGAATTCACATATACCCCACACCCAGTTTCCCCTATAATTAACATATTAGTATGGTACATGTATTACAATGAATGAACCCGTATTGATGACATTATTATTAACTAGAACCCATACTTTATTATTCACATTCCCTTAGTTTTTCCCTAATGCACTTTTTCTGTTTCAGGATTTCATCCACGATCCCACATTACACTCAGGTCCTCATGTCTCCTCAGGCTCTGCTTGGCTGTGACAGTGTCGCAGATTTTCCTTGTTTTTGATGGCCTTGATAGTTTTGAGGAGTACTAGTCAGATATTTTGGAGAAAGTCCGTCTGTGGGAATGTTTTTCTCAGAACTGGACCAGGTGCTGTGCTTTGAACGTGTCCCCTCAAAGTTCGCATGTTGGAAACTGAATCTCCAATGCAATAGTGTTAAGAGGTGGGACCTTTAAGAGATGATTAGGTCGTGAGGGCTCTGCCTTCAAGAATGAATTAATGCCTTTATATCTGGATGGATTAGTTATTTTGGGAATGAGTTGCTGGTAAAAGGATAAGTTTGCCTCCTTTCGCTTTCCTTCCCTTCTCTCTCTTTCTCTCCCTGCTTCTCCCTCCCTCCCTCTCTCTCTCCCCACTTCCCATGTGCTCTCTTGCTCTCCCCCTTCCACCATCAGAAGACACATCAAGAAGGCCCTTGCTGATGCAGGCCCCTCGACCTTGGACTTCTCAGCCTCCAGAGCTGCAAGAAATAAATCTCTGTTCTTCATAAATTACCCAGTCTCAGGTATTCATTAGAGCAGCACAAAACAGACTAAGACACCAGGGTTATGCCTTTTGGGGAGGAAGACCCAGAGATAAAATGTGATTCTTATTACATCAGAGCAAGAATCCATACTATCAGAGCAAGAATCCATACTATCAACACAATCTCACGGTTGCTGACCTTGATCACCTGGTAAGGTAGAGTTTCTCGGGTTTCTCCATGGTCAAGTTGCTTTTTTTTTTTTTTTTTTTTGAGACAGAGTCTCCCTCTCCCTCTGTCACCCAGGCTGAAGTGCAGTGACCCAATCTCAGCTCACTGCAACCTCTGCCTCCCGGGTTCAAGCAAGTCTCCTGCCTCAGCCTCCTGAGTAGCTGGGATTACAGGCACCCGCCCCCACACCCAGCTAATTTTTGTATTTTTAGTAGAGACGGGGTTTCACCATGTTGGCCAGGCTGGTCTCAAACTCCTGACCTCAAGTGATCTACCCGCCTCGGCCTCCCAAAGTGCTGGGATTACAGGTGTTAGCCACCGCGCCTGGCCACTATTTTAGTACTTTTAACAGTACAGTGCCCTCTTTTTGAATAAGGGCCTCATGTTTTCATTTTACATGGACACCACAAATTAAGTAGCAGTCTTGCCCCCACTATTCCTAGCATCCCCAACCCCATATGCACCCCAAATCTCTCTGAGGAACCCCACGTCTCTGTCAGATGGCGGTTGAAAGCCTTGGGTGAGGTGCTCTCGCAGGCCCAGCTGGCCATGGACTGGGATGGACTTCCTGAGGTTGGCCATGGACTGGGATGGTGCATTTCTTCCACACCCTTCCGACTCTGACCGTGTCAAGTAGTGGAAACTGGAGAAACCGAGGCATAGTGAGGAAGAATGATTTAAACTAGTGCTCACAGGATGAAAGCCAGGACTGGACGAAAGATTTCTTCAGACTCCACCCTAAGCAGGCCGACAACTCTGAAATAGTGCCTCAGAGTCTGACAGAGCTGGGTTCAAGGCTCAGCTTGGCCAACTCAGGCCAGTTGGCTTTCCTCTTGGAGCCTCGATGTGCTCATCTGTTGAATGGGAGTAAAATTCCAGGCACCTAGGACTAAGCTTCATCAAGACAGTGCACTTGAGACTCTTTTGTTAACTTTTTTAGAGATGGAGCCTCACTCTGCCACCCAGGCTGGAGTGCAGTGGCATGATCATAGCTCACTGCGGCCTCAAACTCCTGGGCTCAAGCGATCCTCCTGCCTCAACTTCCCAAGTAGCTAGGACTACAGGTGCACGCCACCACCCCTAGCTGATTTTCTTAGAGACGGAGCCTCGCTCTGTCACCCAGGCTGCAGTGCGGTGGCGTGATCTCGGCTCACTACAACCTCTGCCTCCCAGGTTCAAGTGATTCTCCTGCCTCAGCCTCCCGAGTACCTGTGACTACAGGCGCCCACCACTACCCCCAGCTAATTTTTGTATTTTTAATAGAGACGGAGTTTCGCCATGTTGGCCAGGCTAGTCTCAAACTCCTGGACTCAGGTGATCTGCCTGCCTCGGCCTCCCAAAATGTTGGGATTACAGGCATGAGCCACCGCATCCAGCCTTCTTATTTTTATTTTTTTAGAGATAGGTCTCGCTGTGTTGCCCATGCTGGTCTCAAACTCCTGGACTCAAACCATCCTCCCACTGTGGCCTCCTAAAGCTCTGAGATTACAGACACAAGCCACCAGGCCTGGCCAACGACTTTTATGAGCTGGAATGCCCAGCCTGGGTATGAGGTGCTGCTGCTGTACACAGAAGTATGAGTGTTTGCTTTATCTCCTTGCCCATCTCTGCTTCACGCCTGGATATGTTTCAATGTGTTCACACTTCCCGTCTGGGAATATGAACACCCAGAGGACCAAACCTGGGTGTGCTTATGTCTCTTCGAGTCCGGCGTAGAGCAGACCTGGCTTAATAAGAACCTTGAACCGGGAAGGAGATGGAGGAGTTCCCGCTTCACCTGGAGCAGGCTCCTCTGTTTCAACTCCATAAACTGTGAAGGCGACAAAGCCCTTTCTGTATTTTGCAAGAGATACAGTTTGCAAATGATCTCATTACCCCCACAGCTATGAGCGGAGTTATGCCGGGCCTTTCTAACAAGTAGCAGTAAAACATTTTATAGGCCCCTCTGCCCCCCTCCTCTCCCCCACCGTGTAATTTTCTCTGTTTGGGGTTGGACTTGGTGTTTTCCCTCTTTTCCTTCTCTTTCTCCTTGCACTTTCTCTCATGTTAATTATATTAGTTGCCATGGAAACAGTGATGTCATTGGCACGGGCGCGCTCAATGACATCCAAAAGCACAGTTTATAGCATGGCTCGAAATTTATTCCATGGCTTGAAGCCTTGGGGAGGGGGGTTATATGGCGATTATATCTTGGGCACCATCTGGGCGTGAGGATGGAAAGTGGCAAGAAAGTAGCTGGGTTGGGGGTGGCTTTGCCAGCTTCCCAGAACCCCAGATACTGGGGGCCATTTACATTTGGAGTAGGTGGAGGACACCGTGTATACAATGAAGAATCATTTCTTGGCTTCTCCCAACACTCACTGTCTTTGCAGCACCCTGCCGCACATTTGTCCCCAATTTAGGATTTCAGAATCCTTCATGGAGTGGTGCTTAAAAGTGCTTAACACTGGTGTGTATACGTGTGTGTGTGTGCGTGTGTGTGTGTACGCGGGCCTATGCCTAATGCACTAAAGCCATGCTGTTGGTATGAAAATGTGATCTGCAGCATGCCACGCACGTTAGTTCATACACAGGGTTTGCATACACATGAGCACCCTAATTTGCCCATCTGTACTTCATTTTAGAAGGTACAGTTGCATCCACATGAGTGATTTTTGCCATCCCTCCTGCCCCCCAAGCCTCCCCACCACAGCTCACTTTTTTAGTGAGCTGCCTTTGCTGCAGCTGGAGGCGCAGGGCGGAGGGGAGGGCTGTGCAAAGAGGCATTGGGGCTGTGGTAGAACTTGGGGCACCCTGTACAAGGACACGTGCAGATGTGGGCTCCCCGAGCTCGCCCCCACATCGGGCTTTCCAGTTGCTCTGCGGGAGGTCTGCGTGTCTAGATCTGGCCCTAAGCAGACAGACCCTAAAGTGAGAGCCACTGGGCAGTCCCCTCCTCCTCCCTGGGGGCCCGTCGATGCGTTTTCAGTTCCTGTGGCATCACCTCGAGCTTGGGGAGGGAGGTCTGCAAACCCAGTGTGCAGGGCTAAGCGGGGGCCCCAGGGGTTCTCATTAATTCTGGAGGATTCATGTCTGAGATGGGAAGAACCCAGGGCTCCACAGAAAGGAGGGTTTCGAAAGGCAGGGTGGGAAGACCAAGGGGCACAAGGCACCAGCATGGGAGTCGGGGGCGTGACTGAGGGAGAAGGAAGAAAACCAACTCCCAACAGCTTCAGGGAAACAGACGGACTCAGGGCCCCGGAGGTGGGGAGCCCAAGGCAGAACTTCCGGCACCGCCTGCCCACAGGCCTCAAATAGCGGCCTCCAGCCTCCAGCTCCATCTCAGTCCCAGCTTTCTTGACATTGATTCCCGACAGGACCACTGCAGGGAGCCGCACCCAGGTTCACCTTTAACCCCACCTCGTGTCCAAAAATGTCACTGGACCAAGTGAAGTCACGTGCACAGCCACAAGCCATTGACTGTGACCAGGGGCGTGGCTTCATCTCATTGGCCGGGTTTGGGTCACATGGCACCAGGGAGACAGTATAGAGGATAGGTGTAGCCCTGAGACCGAGGTGGGGATGGGGGTATGGGGGGTGGGGGGGCTGGGGGGATGGAGGGTATGGTGGGACTTTGATGCTTATTTCTGCCCTCATCATTCTTAGGTTTCCCACCAAAGGTACTCGCCCTTATTCATTATAACCTGCAGACCCAGGCCGGATTCTGTTCTGCAGCAGCCCCAATACTTAATCTAAACCTGGGTTTTTCAACCTCAGACCTACACAAAAATGACTGCAGGTGTGGCCAAATGTCCTGCAGGGGTAGCTGTGGGGGATGGGGGTTAAAACCACCCCTGGCTGAGAACCACTGGTCTAAACCATCTCTGCTCCTATTCCTTCCATCCACGTTCCTCCTGTTACTCTCATTTTCTTTCTTGCTAAAACCCTCCATGACTCCATATTATTATTATTAGATCACTTTAGGTCAGCAGTTCGAGACCAGCCTGGCTAACATGGTGAAACCCCACCTCTACTAAAAATACAAAAATTAGCTGGGCTGGCGGCAGGCGCCTGTAGTCCCAGCTACTTGGGAGGCTGAGGCAGGAGAATCCCTTGAACCCAGGAGATGGAGGTTGCAGTGAGCTGAGATCATGCCACTGCACTCCAGCCTAGGCGACAGGCAACAGAGTAAGACACTGTATCAAAAAAAAAAAAAGAAAGAACAAGAAGAACCTCCAGACCCAGTACCCCTGAATAAACCATCGCCCCTGTACCACCTCCAGCTCCTGGTCAGTCTGCTGAACTGGAGATAGGAGCCTCCAGTGGAGGGGCCCAGGGTGCTCTAGGCCCAGAGGAAAGTCTTGGGAGAGCCACTCAGATGGGAAGCAGGTCCCAGTGGGGGAGAAGGGCACCAAGTGGAGAAAGGGGGCAAAGTAGGTCCAGGCAGTGGGAAAGGTAGGTGCAAAAGCATAGTGGCATGACAGGGTGTGGCTTAGGGACACTAAGACCCACAGACTCGTAGTAATAACAACCTCTTAGCACTGGGCTAGGTGCTATGTTGCTTTCTCATGATCAACCTCACAACAGCCCCGTGAGATAGGGGCTAGGAAATTAGTTAATATATACACAAAGCACATGGCCAAATCCCTGGCACACAGAAAGCCCTATATAGGTGTTTGCTATGATATTCATGGTACTGCTACTACTACTACTACTAATAATAATAGGGAGCCATGGAGGGTTTTAGCAAGAGAGAAAATGAGAGTAACAGGGAGGAATGTGGATGGAAGGAGCAGGAGCAGAGATGGTTTAGACCAGTGGTTCTCAGCCAGGGGTGGTTTTAACCCCACCCCCCATCGCTACCCCCACAGGACATTTGGTCTGGAGTCATTTTTGCTGTGACCATGCGAGGGGAGTTGTTCGTGGTGGCATCTAATAGAGGCCAGAGATGCCACTAAACATCTTACAACACAGGACAGTCCCCCACAGCAAATAATCATCCAGCACTGAATGTCAATAGGACTGAGGCTGAAAAACCCAGATTTAGATTAAGTATGGGGGCTGTTGCGGAACAGAATATGGGTTGTCAAAAGGAGGCTCCAGGCAGAACAAGGGCCCTGGGGTGGCCAAAGATTGGAAGAGCCTACTCCCCTCCCTTCCCTCCTCCCGCCAAGTGAGCGCCTCTCCTCCCCATCTGCAGTGTGTGCTGAGGGTGGGGAGGATGGTAGCAGAGAAGGCATGGGTGGGGCTGGCAGGGAGAAGTGCTGGAAAGTCTACAGGCCCTGGCAGACTGGCCAGTGACCTTCTCTCCAGCTCCTGTATCACAGGCTCAACATATTCCTTGAATGGGGGTAGATATCCTGCGTCGGGGTCTGGTTTGCCTCGCGGAACACCCACCCTGGAAATAGGGACCCGTCGCCACTCAGCTTGCAGATCACAAAACCCCAGGGGCAGCTTTGCCCTTCTTCAGTCCTCAGAGTTCCAAATGTGATTTCCTTCAGTAACATAAGCACAGAGGGAAGGGAGGAGGAAAGTGAGTGGGGAAAGAGAGAAACAGCGAGTCAAAACCAGTGAGGACCACCAGGACAGAGCCTGGGAGGGACAGACAGACTCAGCAGGAGAATGAAATGTGGAGAAAGAAAAACACAGACTGAGACTGAGAAAGAGAGATCGAGACGAAGCTGGAGAGGGACAAACGGAGAGTGGTGGAGAAACAACGGAAAACCCACGTAAGAGAGAGCCAGACAGATTGAGAGTGGCAAGAAGAAACAGAAATGGAGAAGGAGCAAAAGAGAGAGAAAGGTTGACGGTGGACGGGCAGACTAAGAGTGTGAGCAAGGGACATCTTTCCTTGCAAACTCCATGGTCCGCTGCCCAGTAACTCTCCAAGGCTTTGCCATATTTCAGCCACGGAACTGGGGAATTGGGAAAGTTTTCTCATCACAGGTCCGGGACGAGTGAGCATTGTTCCCATTATTGCTGGCATTCTCTGCGAACTGGACATTAGCCAGCAGGAAATTCCTGGGACAAATCTTTCCACTCAGAGTTTTTTTAAAACTTTTATTTATTTATTTTAATTTTTTTTCTTTAGGGACAAAAGAAAAAAAAGATCAAGAGGCAAAAAGAAAAAGAAAAAAAGAAATGAACCACCTGATACAGGAAAAACATATCTAGCAACAGCCTCAGTTGGGCCAGGGGAGGCTGAGAAGCCACTGTGTCCGCTGCGCTTCATTCTTCCCCTGGAAGGATTTATGATCTCACACTGCCATGACATCACAATGCGTTGCCATGGGTCCCACTTTATTATCATAAACAAAACGCCGTTCCTTGGGCCACTGCCTGTCTGAGCAGGAGGGGAGAAAAAGCCTCTGGGTAATGTGTTTTCTTGGGAAGGCAGCTTGTTCGGAAGTCTGAAAAGCTGCAAAGATAGTTGTACATACAGTTCCCTCCCTGTAGCCTCTGGACAAGGTTTGGGACGGGAACAAGAAGGATGAAGTCAGCTCCCTGCAGGAGGATCTCCAGCTCCGCGTGTTCTCACTGCCAAAAAGCAGCTTCCCCGGGCCTCCCTCACTGCTCCAAACAATGTTTTTATTCATTCACCGAAAATGCATGGAGTACCTACTGTGTGCTAGACACTGACAGAGCTGGGGCAGGGATCAATGAAAAACGTGACGCCAGCCCCACCCCTTTCAGAATCTTTAATACTTAACAGCCCGCAAATAACATGAATGTGTAAAATTGTAATTTGGGTTAAGTCTGCTGAAGGAAGCAAACAGGAAGCTAGGATGAGAATGGAGGGAAGAGGCTATTTACATGAGCAATCTGGGAGGGCCTCTCTAAGGAGGTGACATTTTAGACCAGACTTGAAGGAGAAGTAGGAATTGGCTGTGAAGGGCAGAGGGAGGTGGCAGTAACTAAGGCAGGACCAGCCACACCAGGAAGAGTGACCGTCGGGATCTAAGTTCCCACCAGGGGCCTCTTCCCACGTATTTTATAGAATTCCTGGGTAGCTGACTCAGATGAGAGGGCTTATTATGAGGAATCATCGTTGTCATGAGTCTGAGCTGAGTAAAGCTTCCGCACCCTGCCACAACCATGCCAGAAAACCCTCATTTCCATTGCAGAACTGTCAGATCGGCACTGTGAAAACAAGTCAGCCAAGAGCAGAAATACCTGTAGGACGCAGAGGGGGCTCTCCCCAGCATAAGGCCATTTTGCAAGAAGCAAATAATGCTCTTAAGCAGCAGGAAGGAGAGAGGGAAGGGAGGGGAGAGAAGCCTTGGGGACAGATGTGGGGGCACTGCCTGTGGGTCAGGAGGCCAGGTGAAGGACAGGTGGGTAAGCCGTCCCCGCCCCTCCCAGGAGATGAACCATGAGGGAGTTAGGACTCTGGATATAGAAGAGAACGAGAGGCCAGGCATGTTGGCTCACACCTGTAATCCCAGCACTTTGGGAGTCTGAGGCAGCAGATCACCTGAGGTCAGGAGTTCAAGACCAGCCTGGCCAACATGGTGAAACCCCGTCTTTACTAAAAATACAAAAATTAGCCAGGCGTGGTGGCAAGTGCCTATAATCCCAGCCATTTGGGAGGCTGAGGCATGAGAATTGCTTGAACCTGGGAGGCTAAGGTTGCCTCCCATGTTCCAAGACCGCACCACTGCACTCCAGCCTGGGCAACAAGAGTGAGACTCTGTCTGAAAAAAAAAAAAAAGAAAAAGAATAGAACGAGAGCTTCTAGATCATCTGAACAATGATGGGGACACGGAGGCCCCAAGTAGAGAAGGAGCTGGCCTGAGGTGGTACGGGAAGTTAGGCGCAGAGCCCTTCCGCTCACTTGCTGTGTGACCTTGGGAAGCTCACTTCACATCTCTGAGCCCCTGTCCCCACTGTAACATGGGAAGAATGCATATAAGGCTCTTTACACTGCTGCAATATATAGAGAGGGTTGTTTTTTGACCCCTACTTCCTGGAGAACACGTTCATTAAACCATGCTGGCTTCCCATTTGTTAGTTCATTTCATACTCAGGGTGGCCCTGACAGGTAAACATGGCTGTCCATGCTTTACAGATAAAGAAACTGAGGCCAAGAGGGGTTGAGTAACACACTCAAGGTTCCACAGCCAGGTATAAGGGCCAGATCCCCACCCTACCTGCCTGACTTCAAATGGAGTCCGTGTTCCCGACAGAAGCTTGGCCTTGTCCTGGGATGCATGAATGTGTGTATGGATAATTGGTACTGACCCAGAGACACAGAGCTAGGATGGAGACAAGGCTGAAGAGATGAGAGACCCAGCTTGCTGGCCAACAGTGATGGTGTGCCAGAGGACAGAAGAGACGCCAGGATGTGGGAGAGAAGAGAGGACTCCAGTCTGCATGCTGAGTGATATGTCCAGATGCGTGAATCTTTTTTGAATCTTTTTTTTTTTTTGAGACAGAATCTCGCTCTGCCACCCAGGCTGGAGGGCAGTGGCATGATTTCGGCTCACTGCAACCTCCACCTCCATGGTTCAAGTGATTCTCCTGCCTCAGCCTCCCAAGTAGCTAGGATTACAGATGCATATCACCATGCCCGGCTAATTTTTGTATTTTTAGTAGAGATGGGATTTCACAATGTTGGCCATACTGGTCTTGAACTCCTGACCTTGTGATTCGCCCGCCTCGGCCTCTCAAAGTGCTGGGCTTACAGGCATGAGCCACGCTGCCCCATGATTCTAATTTTTATGTAAGATGCATATCTTAGGCTTTCAGATCAGAGTAAGGAAGACTCAGTAGGAACACCAGTAACTCAGCTAGAGCCAGCTGGGTGACAGAAAAAGCATCTGGATGAGAAATTAGGGGATGTGCAGGCCATTAGATCAGGAGCCAGGCATCTCAGATTCTAGAGAAGTGCTGGGTTTAATGTCTATTTATTCCTGGGCCAAGCACTTGACTGCCCTTGCTTTACAAGTCTCACCACATCCTATAAGGTGGTTGGTTGGTTGCTTTGTTTTGAGACCAAGTTTCACTCTGTCACCCAGGCTGGAGTGCAGTGGCACGATCTCAGCTCACTGCAACCTCCACCTCCCGGTTTCAGGCGATTCTCATGCCTCAGCCTCCTGAGTAGCTGGGATTACAGGCGCCCGCCACCATGCCCTGCTAATTCTTCAATTTTTAGTAGAGACAGGGTTTCACCTTGTTGGCCGGGCTGGTCTCAAACTCCTGACCTCAAGTGATCTGTTCGTTTTGACCTCCGAAAGTGCTGAGATTACAGATGTGAGCCACTGGGCCTGGCTCTATAAGGTGGGCATTGTATCCCACTTCATGGATGTCAGAACCGAGTCCCAGAAAGATTCCAGTCCTAGGCCAGGCATGGTGGCTTACACCTCTAGTTCCAGCATTTTAAGAGGCCAAGGCAGGAGGATAGCTTGAGACCAGGAGTTCAAGACCAGCCTGAGCAACATAGTAAGACTCCATCTCTACCAAAAAATAAATTAAAATAATTTTAATTTAAAAAATTAAAAACCAGCTGAGCATGGTGGTGTGCAGCTGTGGTCCTAGATATTCTGGAAGCTAAGGTGGGAGGATCTCTTGAGCTAGGGAGGCGAAGGCTACAGTGAGCCACGATAACATCACTGCACTCCAGCCTGGGCAACAAAGCAAGACCCCATGTCAAAAAACACGCAAAAAAACTCCAGTCCTAGCCATTTGCCTCGACATAGAGATACAATATTTCTCAGGCTTAATTTCCTCTAATTAAAAATAAAAGGATTAGTCTAAATCAGGGATCAGTAAACTTTTTTGTAAAGGGTGACACAGAAAATATTTTAAGTTTTGCACATCATATCATGTTTGTAGCAACTACTCAACTCCGCTGTTGTAAAAGTAGCCATAGGCCGGGCACGGTGGCTCATGCCTGTAATCCCAGCACTTTGGGAGGCCGAGGCAGGCGAATTACAAGGTCAGGAGTTCAAGACCTGCCTGGCCAACATGGTGAAACCCTGTCTCTACTAAAAATACAAAAATTAGGCATAGCGGCGCGTGCCTGTAATCTCAGCTATTCAGGAGGCTGAGGCAGGAGAATTGCTTGAACCGGGACTCAGGAGGCAGAGGTTGCAATGAGCTGTGATTGTGCCACTGCACTCCAGCCTGGGCTACAGAACGAGACTCTGTCTCAAAAAAAAAAAAAAAAAAAAAGCAGGCCGGGCGAGGTGGCTCACACCTGTAATCCCAGCACTTTGGGAGGCCGAGGTGGGTGGATCACGAGGTCATGAAATCAAGACCATCCTGGCTAACACGGTGAAACCCCGTCTCTACTAAAAATATAAAAAAATTAGCCGGGCATGCACGCGGGCGCCTGTAGCCCCAGCTACTCGGGAGGTTGAGGCAGGAGAATGGCATGAACCCGGGAGGCGGAGCTTGCAGCGAGCCGAGATCGCGCCACTGCACTCCAGCCTGGGAGACAGCGAGACTCCGTCTCAAAATAAA
This sequence comes from Homo sapiens, assembly GCF_000001405.40. Lineage (NCBI taxonomy): Eukaryota > Metazoa > Chordata > Mammalia > Primates > Hominidae > Homo > Homo sapiens. Next base: position 116,451,666 of record NC_000012.12, on the reverse strand, counting down.
AAAAAAGAAGCAGCCATAGACAATATGTAAATGACAAACGAGTGTGAGTGTTCCAATAAAACTTTATTTACAAAACTGGTGGCGGCACTTCACCCCCACTAGGATGACTATAATCTAAACATCATAATAAGTGTTGGTGAAGATGTGGAGAAACCAGCTAGTAAGAATGTAAAATGGTCTGGGTGCAGTGGCTCAAACCTGTACATCCAGCACTTTGGGAGGCTGAGGCGGGTGGATCACTTGGTCACCAGTTTGAGACCAGCCTGGCCAGCATGGTGAAACCCTGTCTCTACTAAAAATACAAAAATTAGCTGGGCATGGTGGCGGGTGCCTGTAATCCCACCTACTCGGGAGGCCGAGGCATGAGAATTGCTTGAACCTGGGAGACGGAGGTTGCAGTGAGCTGAGATCGCACCACTGCACTCCAGCCTGGGCAATAGAAACTCTGTCTCAAAAAAGATAAAAAAGAATGTAAAATGATGCAGCCGGCCACGCACGGTGGCTCACGCCTGCAATCCCAGCACTTTGGGAGGCCAAGGCAGGCGGATCTCCTGAGGTCGGGAGTTCGAGACCAGCCTGACCAACATTGAGAAATCCCATCTCTACAAAAATACAAAATTAGCCAGACGTGGTGGTGCATGCCTGTAATCTCAGCTACTCAGGAGGCTGAGGCAGGAGAATCACTTGAACCCAGGAGGCAGAAGTTGCGGTGAGCCGAGATTGTGCCATTGCACTCCAACCTGGGCAACAAGATAAAAACTCCATCTCAAAAAAAAGAAAAAAAAAAAAAAAAAGAGATGCAGCCACTCTGAAAAACACCAGAGGTTCTGTTTTCCGCAGGTAATTGGTAGTTCCTCAAATGAGTAAACATAGAACTGCCATATGACCTGGAAATCTTACTTCCAGGTGTATATGCAAGAGGAATGGAAACATGTCCACACAAAAACTTGTGCCGGAATGTTCATGGTGGCATGACTCATAATAGCCAAAATATGCAAACAGCCCAAATGTCCCTCAGCTGGATGAATGGATAAGTACAATATGGCATATCCATAGAAGGGAATATTATTTAGCCATAAAAAGGGATGAAGTAGTGATACGGGCTACAACATGGAAGAACCTTGAGGTTATGCTAAATGAAAGAAGCCAATCACCACACATGAGATAATTCTATTATATGAAATGTCCACAATAGACAAATCCATAGAGAAAGAAATTAGATTAATGGTTGCTGGGGGCTGGAGTTGAGGGAATCAGGACACAGAGTTTCTTTTTGAAGTGATGAAAGTATTCTAAAATTGACTGTGGCGATGGTTGCACATATCTATAAATGTACTGAAAATCATTGAATTGTACACTTTAAATAGATGAATGTTATGGCATATGAATCACATCTCAAAAAAGCTATTATAAAAAAAATTCATTTACCGATAAAGCAAAAAAGGACATGAGGGAAATTTTGGGGGTGGATAGAAGTGTTCCAAAAAATAATTTTGGTGCTGGTTTGCATGACTGTGTATATTTACTACAACAGATCAAATCATGTACTTTAAATGGACAAATTTGACATGATGTAAATTATAACTCAATAAGGTTCATAAAGAAGGAGGGAAAAAAAATAGGTGTTGGATTGGATTTGGCTCACAAGTCGTGGTTTGCTGACCCCTAGTCTAAATGATGAGCACACAAGGACTCTTTAGATTCTAAGTAGGCACTGCTCCAACTTGAGCTGGTTTAGGCAAAATGAGGAATGTATTGGCACACACAACTGAAAAGTCTAGAGAATAGGTGGTATGTCTGCCAGAGTTCTCCAGAGAAACAGAACCTATAATATATGCTTATATACACCGTATGAGGAATTGGCCCATGGAATTACAGAGGCTGAGAAGTACCACGATCTGCCATCAGCAAGCTGAAGGCCCAGGAAAGCTGGCGGTGTCAATCAGACCTGAGAACCAGGGAAGACCATGATGTCAATCCCAGTCCAAGAGCAGGAGAAGGTGAGATAAGGTGTCCCAGCCCAAACACTGAGGCGGCGGAAAAAAGGGTGAATGCATTCTCCCTCTGCCTTTTGTTTCATTCAGGATTGGACAATGTCCGCCCACATGGGAGAAGGCAGTCTACTTGTACTGAATCCACATATTCAAATGCTAATCTCATCTAGAAACAATGTTTACTCTGGGCACCCTGTGGCCCATTCAAGTTGACATATATAATTAACCATCATGGTTGGTTTCAGGCCCTGTGGAATCTAGGGGTGCAAATATCACCAGAACCTGGCTTTTTTTCCATACTGCTTCCACTCCTATCTCCACGAAATGGCTGTCAGAAGGCCCTGTCCCATTTTCTCAGCTTCAAGTCCGGTAGAGAAGATTAGGGAGCCTTTTCCAAAGGTTGTTGCAAAAATATTTGCATCCTGTTGGCTCTGATTGGACCACAGGTCCATCTCTGATCCAATCCCTGTGGCCAGGAAAACACAGTGTTCTGATTGGCCAGTCCTGAGTCACATGGCACCCCCAGAGCTGAAGTATGCGTTTTTGTTTGTTTTGTTCTGTTTTTTGAGACAGAGTCTCACTCTGTCACCCAGGCTAGACTGCAGTGATGCGATCTCAGCTCACTGCAACCTCCGTCTCCCACGTTCAAGTGATTATCCGGCCTCAGACTCCTGAGTAGCTGGGATTAACAGGCACCTGCCATCGCCTATGGCTAATTTTTGTATTTTTAGTAGAGATGGGGTTTCACCATGTTGGCCAGGCTGATCTTGAACTCCGAAACTCAGGTGATCTGCCTGTCTTGGCCTCCCAAAGTGCTGGGATTACAGGTGTGAGTCACCACGCCTGGCCAGGATGCATTTAATATTACCCAAAGCCCAGGATACACATGGGGTAGGTGGGGGACAATTTATCCCCTAGAGATAAATTGGGGTGCTAACTCAGTGGGACCCAACAGCAGAAGTCAGGAAGCATTTCTTATACCAAATATTTTTGCTTAAGCAGTTCCAAACACCAAAGGAGGTAAATAAACATTGTTAGTCATGTTCTGTCAGTGACAAAGTGAAAGAGTGAAGACAGCCTGCAGGTCACTGGCAAAGCAAACCCCTACACCGCTCGCCCCGAGTCTTTCACCTTTGCTCTCAGCATGAGGTTTAACTACCTGCAAGTCAAGACAGAAGGGGTCATTTATTCAACAGACGGTTATTACAGCCAGCCACGCACACCATGTCTATAAAATTCTCTTAGATCAGGAAATTGAAAGTCCTGGAAATTAAGGGGCAGACGTAAAGACTGTGTAGCAGAGCGCAGGGCTGGGTCCCAAGCACCAGGGGCAGTGCCACACTGCCCAGACACTCCAAGCCTTTTTAGGGCAGCCATAGAACCCAGAGAAGTCCTCTGTGATGCCTGCAGAGTCTCTGTCTTTACCTCCCTAGAAGGGGAAGAGGGATCCCATCAAAAGGAAAGCAGAAAGTTCGGGATGGCCGGGTGCGGTGGCTCACGCCTGTAATCCCAACACTTCAGGAGGCTGAGGCGAGAGGATCACTTGAGATCAGGAGTTCAAGACCAGTCTGACCAACATGATGAAACCCGGTCTCTACTAAATATACAAACATAAGCCAGATGTAGTGGCGCACACCTGTAATTCCAGCTACTCAGGAGGCTGAGGCAGGAGAATCGCTTGAACCTGGGAGGTGGAGGTTGCAATGAGCCAAGATCACACCACTGCACTCCAGCCTGGGCGACAGAGTGAAACTGTGTTTCAAAAAAAAAAAAAAAAGAGAGAGAGAGAGAGAAAGTGGTCGCTACAATGGGTCTTTCTGTTATTGTATTCTAGTGTGGCTGTGTGTGTGTGTGTGTGTGTCTGCATCTGCCTTCACCACTGTATCATAAGTTCCTTGTGGATGGAGCTTTTATCTTAATTCTCTTTGTACACTGAGGGCTCAGTAATGGGGGGTCCAACTCCAAGATGCTCAATAAATGTTTTTGCACTGGACAGAAAAAATTAACAGAGCAAATAGGGACAATGAGCGTCTTTGACCTGAACACAAGGAAGACTCAGTGCACCTTACTGTCCTAAAAGCTAGACCCAAAACTAAGATGGTATCCAGCCAGTCCAGTGCCAGAGTGGCCCAACTTTTATTTCTTCTCCTTGTTTCTCCCATAGGGTAGTCAGTCATGAAGCTTAGCCTGTGTCTCTTTCCTCCTTCGAATCTTCTCCCAGGGCTTTGCTCTGGCAGGCCCTCACTCCTGACCACCAGCCAGGACAACTGGCAGACCCCAGGCCAGGGAATAAACTCTAAACACCTCCCTTCTGTCAACACCCCACTGTTGGTCCTTCCACAAGTCCTTCCAAGCCCCTATCTCTGTACCTTTGCAAACTGAGCTCCTCTCTTCGCTCCCCTCTCTTTGCCCTTCCTCGTCTCTCCCACCTCCCGGTGGCATCATGCTTGGACTTCCTAAGTGCAGAACTCACTTGGCCACCATGGTTCAGCCTGATCCTTTTGCATCAATGCCCTTCCTTGTTTCTCTACCTGCCTCCAGCCAGCTCTCCTTTTGGAGACAGCTCAGCACCACCTCTTTCCAGAAGCTTTCCTATTCACCCCTTCCATCCTGGGGTGGAATTGGAAATCCCTTCTCTTCCTCCTTAAGGCTTCTCTATTTAACCAATGCTGCAACAGCCTTTCTTGCGTGGGAGGAAATTGTCTGCTGCCCCATCTCTCTCCACTGCTAGATATGAACATCTTTTTATTTTTGAGATGGAGTTTTGCTCTTGTTACCCAGGCTGGAGTGCAGTGGTGCAACCTCTGCCTCCCAAGTTCAAGCAATTCTCCTGCATCAGCCTCCTGAGTAGCTGAGATTACAGGTGCCCACCACCATGCCCGGCTAATTATTTTTGAAATGGAGTCTTGCTCTGTCACCCAGGCTGGAGTGCAATGGCACAATCTCAGCTCACTGCAACCTCCGCCTCCTGGGTTCAAGCGATTCTCCTGCCTCAGCCTCCCAAATAACTGGGACAACAGGCGTGCGACACCGCACCCGGCTAATTTTTTGTATTTTTAGTAGAGACGGGGTTTCACTATATTGGCCAGGCTGATCTCGAACTCCTGACCTTGTGATCCGCCTGCCTCAGCCTCCCAAAGTGCTGGGATTACAGGCATGAGCCACTGCGCCTGGCCAGATATAAACATCTTAATGACACAAATGATACTATTTGTCTTTGTCTTTGCTGCACCTAAGAATGCCTGGCACACAGAAGTTGCATAATAGATGCTTTACTTAATGAATGAATGCAAGTATGCATGTGACTGCTATGGGGGCTCCTTCTATCCTGGCCAGTGCCTAAAAGAGACTGGCCCATGGTGGGCACTCAATGCATGTTCATGGAATGTTTAAATGAATGAATGAGTTGATGGATGGATGGGTGGATAATTCCTTCAGTGCTTCTCCGTGCAAGGTGACCAACTATCCTAGTTTGCTCAGGACATGGGACTTCCGGCACTAAACCCAGGCAAGTCTCAGGCAAACTGGGAAAAGCTGGCCACCCTACCTACCTCCATGACACCACATAAAACCTGACTCCAGTCAGCCTGGATTAAATCCTAGTCACTTGCTAATCTTGTGTATTTTATGATTTCCTCATTTCACACATTTGTGTCCAGTCTTCCGATTTTGCTGGAGAGCATAGATCTTTCCGTAGGGTGACCCACAGTAACCCTTCAGGGCTACACAGAAACAGGCTTTGAAAGATCTTCATTATCATCATTATTTAAACTCTTCATGTGTGTTTTTTCTCTAAATCTCCCAGTGACTTCATGAGGTAGATATTCTCCTTCTCATTTTACACGAGACTGTAGAACCCTGGAGTCTGAGTGACCAATCCAAGCTAGCACACCTAGGATGTTGTAGGATTTAAAACTGGTGTAAGCCGGGCGCAGTGGCTCACACCTATAATCACCACAATTTGGGTGGCCGAGGCAGAAAGATCTCTTGAGGCCAGGAGTTCAAGACCAGCCTGGGCAACATAGTGAGACCCTGTCTCTACAAAAAAATGTAAAAATTAGCCGGATGCAGTGGCAAGCACCAGTAGTCCCAGCAACTTGGGACGCTGAGACAGGAGGATGCTTGAGCTCAGGAGGTCAAGGCTGCGGTGAGCTATGATCACACCACTGCACTCCAGTCTAGGCAACAGAGTGAGGCCCTGTCTCTAAAATAAAAACAAAACAGGCCTGTTGGAGTCTGAATCCTATGCTTAAGGGGCACCCAGGTTGGTCCCTCTTCAGCACTCAGGCCCAGATTCTGTAGGGTGTGGCAGCTGCCCATCACCCTCACTGGGTCCCTGAATGCATGGCTGGATGAAAGTCCCTCAGAGTCCTGTTCTCCAGCTGCTAGCCCAGGACCTTGAGCTCTAGAGAGAAGAGAATCAACACCACTCCCAAGGGGGAGAAATTACTACTCTCCAGCTCTGGAGATTTGGCCCATGGTGGGCCAAATGGAGGCCCATCCCTCATTTCTAACAGTCCTGCCAACTCCCCCTTGGACACAAGAGCAGGGAAAACACTTCCCCAAGGTCAGGAGGGTATATTTGTCTCCCAGGACTGCTGTCACAAAGTACTGTAAACTGGGTAGCTTAAACCCATAGAAATTATTATTTCACAGTTCTGGAGGCCGGAAGTTCAAAATCAAGGTTTGGGTAGAGTTGGTTCCTTCTGGAGGTTTCCGGGGAGAGTCTGATCCAGGCCTCTCTTCTGGCTCCTGGTGGCTCCAGGCAATCCTTGGCGTTCCTCTGCTTGTAGATGCTTCACTCCAACTTCTACCTCCGTCTCCACCTGGTCTTGCCTCTTTTTGTTTCTGTGTCTTCTCTTCTTCTTATAAAGACACCAGTCGTTGGGTTTAAGGCCCACCGTAAATCCAGGATAATTGCTTCTGGAGATCCTTAACTAATTACACCTATGTATTAGTCCATTTTACACTGCTGATAAAGACATACCCGAGACTGGGTAATTTATTTAAAAAAAAAAAAAAAAAGAGGTTTAACGGATTCACAGTTCCACGTGGCTGGAGAGGCCTCACAATCATGGTGAAAGGCAAAAAGCACATCTTACGTGGTGGCGGCGAGAGAGAATGAGAGCCAAGTGAAAGGGGTTTCCCCTTATAAAACCACCAGATCTCGTGAAACTTATTCACTACCACGAGAACAGTATTAAGGGAAACCTCCCCCGTGATTCAGTTATCTCCCACTGGGTCCCTCCCACAACACTTGGGAGTTATGGGAGCTACAAATCAAGATGAGAATTGGGTGGAGACACAGCCAAACCATATCAACCTACAAAGACCCTTTTTCCAAATAATGTCACATCCCAGCATTCTGCGTGGACATGAATTTGGGGGGACACAGTTCAACCCATTACAGAAGTTCATTGCCTTGGAGACTCCCAGTGTCTGCTGAGAACATTACCACATCACCCACTTCCCTGGGCCCTCCTTCGACAGGACATCCCTGCAACAGCTGCTGTGGAGGAGGCCACCACCCTCACCCTGCATAGACCACCCCCCCAACCCATACCCACTCTGCCCCGCCAGGCTCCTCGGAAGTCTGACGGCTCCATGACAAGCCCCACGCACTGGCGGGAGACATGGGGGTGGGGGGAAACCACAGTTGCAGAATCCCAGCATGAGAAGAAGGAAAGTGCTGACTTAAAAATTGAAACCCTGACAGATGTAGAGCTTTTTAACTCTGCGATGGGCCTGTTGGCGCTTGTCAGATCCTAGCACGTTTGCTAATGTGCATTTTCATCAAAGGAAGAGCCTGCTAGAGATCCCATGGCTGGCCCAACCTCTTTGCTTCCACCTCCCTGCTTGGTTGTCCCTGCCTGTTCTCGCCCTTCCCTCCTCCTATGCTTTCCAGTCCCAGCCTTTCTTTGTTCCTGTCCTCTCCTCCTCTCCCCTTTCTCTGTCTCTATGCCTCCTCTCATCATCCCAGGGCCCCCACCCCATCCTGTCTTCCTTCTGTCTTCTTTCCTCTCCTATTCTGTCTCCTTTTCTTTTTTTTTTTCTTTTATTTTTTGAGACGGAGTATTGCTCTCGTAGCCCAGGCTGGAGTGCAATGGTGCGATATCGGCCCACTGCAACCTCTGCCTCCTGGGTTCAAGGGATTCTCCTGCCTCAGCCTCCCAACTAGCTGGGATTATAGGCACCCGTCACCACACCCAGCTACTTTTGTATTTTTAGTAGAGATGGGGTTTCTCCATGTTGGTCAGGCTGGTCTAGAACTCCCGACCTCAGGTGATCCACCTGCCTCGGCCTCACAGAGTGCTGGGATTACAGGCATGAGCCACCATGCCCAGACTCCCTTCCTTTTCTTTCAGTTCAGCAAGACAAACATTTATTGCAACCACTACAGAATTCCAGGGACTGAGCTCACAGTGAGTGTCTCAGTCCATCTGAGCTGCTCTAACACAATTCCTGAGGTTGGGTAATTTCTCAGCAACAGAGGTATATTGCTTACAGTTCTGGAGGCTGGGAAGATCAACAGATGCCGTGTCTGGTGAGGGCTTGGTCTCTGCTTCCTAGATGGGCCTTCTTGCTATGTCCTCACAGGCTGGACCGAGCAAAAGAGTGAACAAGCTCCCTCAGGCCTTTTCTATGAAGGCACTAATGCCAATCACGAGGTCTCCACCCTCATGACCTAATCCCAAAGGCTCCACCTCCTAGGGTTTGATTTCAATGTATGGATTTGAGAGGGGCACATAAATACAGACCGTAGCAAAGACAGCATAAACAAAACAAGGCCAGGTGTGGTGGTTCACACATGTAATCTCAGCACTTTGGGAGGCCGAGGCAGGCAGATCACTTGAGGTCAGGAGTTCAAGAACAGCCCGGCCAACATGGCAAAACCCTGTCTCTACTAAAAACACAAAAATTAGCCGTGCCTGGTGGTGGGCTCTTGTAGTCCCAGCTACTTGAGAGGCTGAGGCAGGAGAATCACTTGAACCCAGGGGGTGGAAGTTGTAGTAAGCAGAGATCACTCCGCTGCACTCCAGCCTGGGCAACAGAGTGAGACTCCATCTCAAAAAAAGACAAGGCAATAGGGCTTGTCCCTATAGGGTCATAGTTACCCATTCCTGCCCTGCCATATTGCTATCTTCTCTGAATCTCTTTCCTTTTTGAGGAGCGTGTGTTACAGGGTCTTGCTCTGCTGGCCAGGCTGATCTCAAGCTGCTGGCCTCAAGCAATCCTCCCTCCTCAGCCTCCCAAAACACTGGGATTACAAGCATGAGCCACTGTGCTCGGTCACTCTTTCTTCTTCTTTCCCCTCCTCCCTTCATCTTCCTCCTTTATCTTGGGATCTTTTCTGTCTCCCTCATTTTTCAGGTCAGTTCAAACAACTCTTCCTTGCCCATACCACTGTACGTACCACTGTATTATAGGAGCCGGAGATGCAGACAAGAGCAAGATGAGTTTGCCGTCTCAGAGTCTCCTTGTTCCTCCCCACTCTGCTCTCTCTCTCTATTTTCTCCAACAAACCCCCTGGCTTTTTTTGAGACTCCACCCTGCTCTGTTGCCCAGGCTGGAGTGCAGTGGCATGATCTTGGCTCACTGTAACCTCCGTCTCCCGGGTTCAAGAGATTCTCCTGCCGTAGCTTCCCCAGTAGCTGGGATTACAGGCGTGTGCCACCACAACCGGCTAATTTTTGTATTTTTAGTGGAGACGGGGTTTCCATGTTGGCCAAGCTGGTCTCGAAATCCTGACCTCAGGTGATCCACCGGCCTCGGCCTCCCAAAGTGCTGTGATTACAGGTGTGAGCCACTGCACCCAGCCTCTATTTCCTCTTTTCTTCTCTGTCATCCTTCCCTCTCACTCCCCCAAAACCCTCCCCATCATTGTGCATTTCTTTGCCTATGCCGAGTCTCAGGCTTTAGCATCCTGTACAAGAAAGGCTATGTGCTAATTGCACTGCCTCCTCCAGCTTCCTTTGATGATGGGGCCAGGCCTCATACTCCGTATTGCAGGTGGTGCTGGAGCCACCAGCCAGGATTAGCTGATGCATGTGGACAGACAGCCAATCCAAAAGGCCCCTGCCGTAGTGGCCCCGGGCCCAGAACTGCTGATCTGCTGGATATGTCTGAGTGAACAGGAGCAGCTCTCAGAGGCCTCAGCCCTGTGGGTGGCCAGGGAAGGCTGATGCAAGTGGACACATGATCAGAAGCAGAATGAGAAGTTCCCTGCCCTGGCTCTGAGCTGGGCTGGCTGATTAGAATAGACATGCTGGGTCACTGGTTGGCTGGACCCCAGGGGTGTCCAAGGCAGATCAAAGGGAGAGGATGCCCAGGTGCTAAAACCATGGTTAAAAAGGAAGTCAGGGCCAGGTGCGGTGGCTCACTCCTGTAATCCCAACAGTTAAGGCAGGGGGATCACTTGAACCCAGGAGTTCGAGACCAGCCTGGGCTCAACATGGAGAAATCTTGTCTTTACTAAAAATAAAAAAATTAGCTGGGTGTGGTAGCGCACCCCTGTAGTCCCAGCTATTCAGGAGGCTGAGGTGGTAGAATCGATTGAGCCTGGGAGGTGGAGGTTGCAGTGAGCCGAGATCGTGCCACTGCACTCCAGCCTGGTGACAGAGTGAGACCCTCTCTCAAAAAAATTTAAAAAAAGGAAGTCGGGGTGGGGCTTCCTTCCCTGGGCTGGAGATTTGCAGAACAACCCTTGCCTGGGTTGTGTTTTCTTGAATATTCAGGAGGTCAAAAAGAAGGCAGCTCTGGGTGCAAACTGTGGCTTTGTTCCCTATGGTTGACTCTGCCCTTCTCCCTGTAACCCCATGTCCCCAACATCTATTCTACCCAACTGACGATGCCAGGCATGGGACTTCCATTCCCCTGGCCCATGACTGGTTCACCAGTGACCAGGTGATCTAGTGACAGGAAAGTCTGCGGGGCCTTTGGGAAAGCTTCTCTTGTCCTAAGGAGGAGACACTGAACAATCCTCTCTGTGTCTGAATGAAAAGCTGGGAATCTCTGCAGCCTGAGACAGAGACGACCCCAAGGATGTTAGATCCAAGTTGTAAAGAACTCACAGTGTTGATGATGATACTACACAGCCATGGGCTATATCCAAGCACGCCCTTCCTTGGATATTTTATTTATTTATTTATTTATTTATTTATTTATTTTATTGAGATGGAGTCTTGCTCTGTTGCCCAGGCTGGAGTGCAGTGGCACTATCTTGGCTCACTGCAACCTCTGCCTCCTGGGTTCAGGCGATTCTCCTGCCTCAGCCTCCCAAGTAACTGGGATTACAGGCACCCGCCACCATGCCTGGCTAGTTTTTGTATTTTTAGTAGATGCGGGGCTTCTCCATGTTGGCCAGGCTGGTCTCGAACTCCTGACCTCAGGTGATCCACCCGCCTCGGCCTCCCAAAGTGTTGGGATTACAGGCATGAGCCACCGCACCTGGCCGGATATATTTTTTTTAATTAGAGATGAGATACGGCTCTGTTGCTCAGGTTGGGGTGCAGTGGTGTTATCATAGCTCACTGCAGCCTCAAACTCCTGGGCTCAAGCAATCCTCCTGCCTTAGCTCCTGGAGTAGCTAGGGCTACAGGTTCATGCCACCATGCCTGGCTGATTAAAAGAAAAAAAAAATTGTAGAGATGGGGTCTTGCTATGTTGCCCAGGATGGTCTTGAAGTCCTGGACTCAAGCAACCCTCCTGCCTCAGCCTCCCAAAGTGCTGGGATTACAAGTGTGAGCCACTGTGTCCTGCCTGGATTTCTTATTATGTGAAGTAATGACATTTCTTAAGACCATTTGAGCCCACCTAAGTTGTGTGTTCTATAACTTGCAGCCTAAAGCATTCTGAATAACAGACTAACATAGTATTTGCCTTCTGTGAGCGTCATCTGAGATCATGATGCCTATTCCCTAGGACTGCTATGAGAATTCATGAAATGGTGCATTTAGCACAATGCCTGGTACCTAGGGAGCACTCAGGAAACATTATTGTAATTATTATTATTATTTTAGATGGAGTTTCGCTGTTGTCGCCCAAGCTGGAGTGCACTGGTGCAATCTTGGCTCACTGCAACCTCCACCTCTTGGGTTCAAGCGATTCTCCCACCTCAGCCTCCCAAGTAGCTGGGATTACAGGCGTGCAGCACCATGTCAGGGCAATTTTGTATTTTTATGGAGGCGGGCTTTCACCATGTTGGCCAGCCTGGTCTCAAACTCCTGACCTCAGGTGATCCGCCCAACTTGGCCTCCCAAAGTGTTGGGATTATAGGCGTGAGCCACTGTGCCCAGCCCATTATTGTAATTAGTACTTACCCATCAATACGTTATTGTCAATACATTCTTTGCAGGCAGTTAAATGTGGTAGTTGTTAATGCTGTTTGCCAAATAGTTCTGGTTCTCTTCCCTTCCAAGGATAATATGATTGTACTTCTTGGTTCCTTTTGGGGTAGGAGATGTCACATGATTAACTCACATGGGCTGGGTGTGCTCCAACCACCTGCAGCATCACTCTCTGCCAACTCACTCAGGCTATCAGTGACATGGCAGAGTGGGCAAAACGCTGCCTACTGCAGTGACACTTGGGCGGAGGTGTCCCTGGCATAGCTGCCTCCAAGTTACCAACTCCAAGTGACCCAGCTCTCTCTCAACTCACACACACAGCCACGTTCTCCCCAAGGCACCTACATACCACCCGGAGGCAGGCCCTTTAAGACCAGTGCAGCCCGGAGCTTCTCAGTCTATCGGGCTCTTCCATGTAAGATTAATTCTTGGGCCGGGCGCAGTGGCTCACGCCTGTAATCCCAGCACTTTGGGAGGCCAAGGCGGGTGGATCACGAGGTCAGGAGATCGAGACCATCCTGGCTAACACGGTGAAGCCCTGTCTCTACTTAAAAAAATACAAAAAGTAGCTGGGCATGGCAGCGTGCGCCTGTAGTCCCAGCTGCTGGGGAGGCTGAGGCAGGAGAATGGTGTGAACCCAGGAGGTGGAGCTTGCAGTGAGCCGAGATCGCACCACTTCACTCCAGCCTGGGCGACAGAGCGAGACTCCGTCTCAAAAAAAAAAAAAAAAAAAAAGATTCTTTCTGGCAGGACTCAAATTGCTCTTCTTGCAGTCTGGCTTCTGTAGGGCTCTCCTGCAAATCTGGAAGACATGGCTCTGTGCACAAGACCCCGTGGCAGACAGGGCCTCATCTCCACCGGCATGAAAAATTGGTGATTATGAAACAAACAAAATAATAAGTGTTGGTGAGGGTGTGAAGAATCAGAACCCTTGTACATTCCTTCCATGCTGCATTCCCACGTGTTACACATGTTACACTGGTGGGGGAATGTCACATGGTGCAGTTGCCTTCAGAAACAGTTTGGGAGTTCCTGAAAATGCTAAACATACAGTTGCCCTAAGACCCAGCAATCCCACTCCCAGATATCCCAGATATACACCCGAGAGTCAAAAACATATGTCCATATAGAAACGTGTACACATAGCAAGTGTAATGTACATAGTATTATTCATAAAAACCAAAAGGTGGACGTGACCTAAATGGCCATCGTTGAATGGGAAGATGAGCAAATCGTGGCATAGCCATGCAACGGAATATGATTTGGCAGTAAAGGAATGAAGTATTGACACACGCCATGCCATGGATGAATCTAGCAACATCATGCTGAAGAAGTGAAGGAAGCCAGAAACCAAAGGTTGCAAATTGTATAATTCCATTTCTATGAAGTGTCCAGCATAGGTAAATCCATAGAGACGGAAAGCACATGAGTGAGTGGTTGCCAGGGTCGACAGGGAGAGGGGCAGGGAGGGGAGAGAATAGGAGCAGAACGAGTGAATGAAAGATAGCGGGTTTAGGGTTTCCTTCTGCAGTGACAGAAATATTTTGGAACTTGATAGAGGTGGTGGTTGCAGAATCCTGGGAATGTAGTAAATGCCACTGTGTTGTACCTTTCTGTCTTTTTTTCTTCCCCTTCCTTCCTTCCTTCCTTCTTTCTTGACAGAGTCTTGCTCTGTTGCCCAGGCTGGAGTGCAGTGGCACAATCTCAGCTCACTGCAACCTCTACCTTCTGGGTTCAAGTGACTCTCCTGCCTCAGCCTCCTGAGTAGTTGGGACTATAGACGTGCGTCACCACACCTGGCTAATTTTTGCATTTTTAGTAGAGACGGGGTTTCACTATGTTGGCTAGACTGGTCTCAAACTCCTGACCTCAGGTGATCTGCCCACCTTGGTTTCCCAAAGTGCTGGGATTACAGGCGTGAGCCACCGCACCTGGCCAACAACGGTCTATTTTGCTATTGCATTTTGCTTCAGTTTTTTAAAAAATCAGTTATTATGAATGGAGGACGCGTCAGGGAGGCAGGAAAGAGGAATGATGTCCAACTCCACCCCCAGAAATACCCAAACCCACTTTTTGCCTGGTCCTGAACCCCTTTCTCCTAATGTGTGTCCAGCTCAGAGTCAGACACATAGTAGGTGCTCAACAAGTGTTGGTTTCTCCCCCTCCCCCACACTGCCAGCTCCTGGTATAAAGGGGGAAAAAATCTCATAACCAATGTAACTGCCGCACTTGAACCTTTGGACTGAATCACATCTGCCACTTAGGGAGGGTCGTGTTTGCCTTGTGCTCGGACTGCAGCCTGCACTTTGGGCTCAGTGTTATCTGCGGGCCCTGCCAGCTTGCGAAAACCCTGCCCAGCACCAGCCCACGCAGGCAGAATTACACGTTATGCTGGGTCTCCCTGCATTTTCTGAGCTGGCATCTTAATGAACTATTGATTAGGGTCTTTCGGGCCTGGCTAGGATTCCCCTTTTGCAGAGAGCTGCAAGTTCCCCTGGTTGCACCAATCGTCCTGGAAAGGCCTGGTTCCATGGCCGCTGGCCAGAGTCTGCACCTTCGGGAAAGTTTTGTTCTCAGGCAGTTCCCGAGGCTCCCTGGGCTAGAAGCTATTCTTGGGGTGTTTAGGGGGCTGTGGGGGCAGGAACAACAGCTGTGGCTCTGCTCACCTCTGTCGCTCCCAACCAGAATGTGAGCACCTGCTGCAGGCCGGGCATGGGCTAGGGGTGGATGTAGAGCTAGATGAGTTAGCTGAATCTTACATCCCAAGGAGTTCAGAGTTGAGAGAGGAGGAGGGAGAAGCAGGCAATTGCTCCTGTAAGATACACAGCAGGGACAGCTGCACAATTTGTGCAGCCCGGGGCGAAATGAAAATGCAGAGTCCCTTGTGCAAAAATTATTACGAAGTTCAAGTTGGTGACAGCAGAGCTTCGAGAGAGCATTACCCTTCTAAGCGCCAGCCCCTGTGTGGGCACTGATCTCATGCCTGTGAAACTCGCCCTGCATTAGTAGCAGCTAACATGAATTGAGCACTTACTGTATGCCTGTGGCTGTAGAGCTCAGGGGTTGGGAACACTGACTCTGGACCCAGACTCCTGAGTCAGATTCCACCTCTGCCTCTTATTAAATTACCCAGTCTCTCTGTGCCTCAGTTTCCTCATCTGTAAAATGGGAGCAATACTAATAAAGAGTGTAGACCCGTGTCTGGCCTGCAATGTCTGCTACAGAAGCATTCACTGTTAGTGAATTTACATGTATGGACTCAGCTGATCCCCACAGGAGTCTAAGAGGTTGATGCTATTTATTATTATTATTATTATTATTATTATTATTATTATTAAGACAGAGTCTCACTCTGTTGCCCAGGCTGGAGTGCAGTAGTGCAATCTTGGCTCACTGCAACCTCTGCTTCCCGGGTTCTAAGCGATTGTCCTGCCTCAGGCTCCCAAGTAACTGGGATTACCGGTGCGTGCCACCACACCTGGCTAATTTTGTATTTATAGTAGAGATGGGGTTTCACCATGTTGGCCAGGCTAGTCTCGAACCCCTGATCTCAGGTGATCCATCTGCCTCAGCCTCCCAAAGTGCTGGGATTATGGGCGTGAGCCACTGCATCTGGCCAGTGGATGCTATTATTATACCTGTTACCAGGTAGGGAAACCAGGCATATGTTACATTGGGTAATTTAACCTTAGTCATTCAGAGGTGAGGCGTGGATTTGAACCTAAATCCTCCCACAGCTGGGAGGGCCCTCGTGCTACCCCTGGCTCCGAGTCAGTGTTCACTAAATGCAGATGGAATTGCAGAATTGGTTTTGTTTTAGGCCGGGCACAGTGGCTCACGCCTGTAATCCCAGCACTTTGGGAGGCCGAGGCGGGCGGATCAGGAGGTCAGGAGATCGAGACCATCCTGGCTAACATAGTGAAACCCTGTCTCTCCTAAAACTACAAAAAAATTAGCTGGGCGTGTTGGCAGGCACCTGTAGTCCCAGCTACTCGGGAGGCTGAGGCAGGAGAATGGCGTGAACCCGGGAGGTGGAGTTTGCAGTGAGCCAAGATCGCGCTACTGCACTCCAGTGTGGGTGACAGAGCGATACTCCGTCTCAAAAAAAAAACCAAAAAAAAAAAAAAAACAGAATTGGTTTTGTTTCTTTTTACAAATCTACTTTATGCCGGGCACTTTCCTATCGCTTCATTCGCGATAGGAATGTTTATTTTTTTCCATTTTACACATGTGTGTTTTTTTTTTCCATTTTACACATGGGGGTATTTGTTTTTGTGTGTTTGTTTTTTTCCATTTTACACATGGGGGTATTAAGCTCCGCCCTAGGAGAAGCCTTTAGACCAATGCTGCCCAGCCTGGAAGTGGTGAATCGGAGACTGCCCTCCTGACTCGCTTGGATTCCAAACCCCTGGCTCTTTCCAGCCCAGCCCACGCCCCTCCGGAAGCTCTGCCCAGAAACGTGCATGGTTGGCATTGCTGAGCTTGCGAGTCCTGCATGGCCCAAATCCCATGAAAGCTGCCTGCACTGCATTAGAAGTGCAGCAAGGATGGAAGTGAGAGGTAAAATGTACATTTCAGCACAAAAGCTTGGAGAGACTTCATGATGCCCCTAGGGCCGTAGGGATCCTCTCCTCTCTCCCTGCCCCAGGCAGACAAAATAGCTAAACCACCCAGGAAGTGTCCTGACAGAAGATCTGCTCACCCATCATCTCTGTTATCCTGTGCTCTGTGGCCTCTGAACAGGAACCCCCAAAATTCAGATGAGCAAGGAAGGCAAAGGTGTCACTGAGGGCTTGGCAAAGTGCTTGCAGGGATGTCCCGAGAAGGCTTTTTCCTGACAGCCTCCTCAGAAGAATATGTGTGGATTCTTATTGCGAAACCCCCAAAGCTCAGCCCCGCCTTCAGAGACTCCGGGAATGAGCTGTGGGTGGAGGGGTGAGTTTAGCGGTGGCAGCTGATCCTTTCCAGATGCCGGGCTCCAGGCCTTGCGGGCAGCCAGGCTGGTCAGTGGCTCCTTGTCACATGCGTGCCACCAGAGGCAGAGGGACAGGGGAAAGGGGCAAGAGTCTGCTCTGAGCCAGGGACTTCCAGGAAGAGCCTGAATAGTCCTGCCCCAGGCGGCTGGTTCTTTCCTCTTAGTGAGCAGCCATGCACACATGATGATTTGCTTTCCTTTTTTTTTTTAATTAACTTCTTACTTTATGCATTTATTTATTTATTTTTCAGACAGGGTCTTGCTCTGTCGCCCAGGCTGGCACCCAGTGGTGTGATCTCTGCTCACCGCAGCCTTGAATTCCTGAGCTCAAGTCATCCTCCTACCTCAGCCTCCCAAGTAGCTGGGACTATAGGCGCACGCCACCGCAGCCAGATAATTTTTTTTACTTTTTAGTAGAGATGGGGGTCTCGCTATGTTTCCCAGGCTAGTCACAAACCCCTGGCCTTAAGCGATCCTCCCATTTTGGCCTCCCAAAGCACTGGGATTACAAGTGTAAGCCGCTGTGCCCAACCCAATTTACTTTTTATTGAAATATAATTTCAGACTTAGGAAAAAGTTGCAAGAACAATACAAAGAATTCCCATGTACCTGTCACCCAGATTTCCCAAATGTTACCACATTACCACTTTGCTGTATCCTTCCCCCACCCCCCACCCCTGTCTCTGTAGATACAGCTATAAAGAGGAGAAAAATGCTTGTTTTCTCAGACATCACACCTCTGTGAAATACTTCACTCTGAATTTCCTAAAAACAAGCAACATTGTCTTACAAAACCACAATACAATGATCAAACGTAGGGAATGAACACTGACACAGCGTTATTGTCTCATCTGAAAACTTTCTCCAGGTCTCCCCATTTGTACTGATGATGTCCTTTGTCACCAAAGGAAGCTCCAGATGTCATATGGCATTTCGTTGTCCTCTCTTTTGCTTTCTTTAGTCTGAAGCAGTTCCTGTGTCTTTTTATATCTTTCATAACACTGACATTTTTCAAGAGCACACGTCAGAGATTTTATTGAACATCCCTCAATTTGGGTTTATCAGCTGTTTCTTCATGGTTAGATTCAGGTTACGCACTTTCATTCACAGTGCATCCTATCAGCTGGCACATACTGCCAATTTGCCTCATTCTGGGGATGCTAACTTTGATCACCAGGTTGAGACTGTATTCTTTTAAGCTAAACACAAAACAAAACAAAACAAAAACAGAGAAGCGGCTGGGAGCAGTGGCTCACGCCTGTAATCCCAGCACTTTGGGAGGCTGAGGCGGGTGGATCACGAGGTCAGGAGATCGAGACCATCCTGGCTAACACGGAGAAACCCCATCTCCACTAAAAACACAAAAAATTTCCCAGGCGTGGTGGCGGGCGCCTGTAATCCCAGCTACTCCGGAGGCTGAGGCAGGAGAATGGCGTGAGCCTGGGAGGTGGAGCTTGCAGTGAGCGGAGATCGCGCCACTGCACTCCAGCCTGGGCGACAGAGCGAGACTCCGTCTCAAAAAACAAAAAACAAACAAACAAAAAAAAACAGAGAAGCCTGAATTCTAATGATATCCTAAGTCCAGCTCAGAAGCCGCAGACCACCCCCTCACCAATTTTTCTGCTCATACAGAAAAAAAAAGTTAATGTATCAGTTATCTATGGCTGCGTAACAAACCACCCCAAACCCACAGTGGCTTAAAATAACAACTGTTAGTGCTCGTGGCTCTGTGAGCCAAAGATACAGGCAGGGCCCCACTGGGCAGTTCTTCCACTTCACATGGTATCATCTGGGTTCACTCACATGGCCACACTCCCCCTGGAGCTTGACTGGAGCTGGAAGACCCAAGATGACCTCACTCACGTGTCTGGCACTTGGTTTTGGCTGTCAGCTGGGGTGCTTGGTTCTCCTCCATGTGGCCTTTCCAGAAGGATAGCTTGGGCCTCTTTACATCGTGGCTGGGTTCCAAGAAAGTGAAAATAGAAGCTGCAAGGCCTGGAAGTTGCCCAGCCTCACTTCTCCTGAGTTCTGTTGCTAAAAGCAAGGCACCGGGCCAGCCCAGATTCAAGGAGAGGATAAAGAATTCTTCCTTTGGATGGGAGGAGTGGCAAAATCCATTGCAAAAGAGCATGTGAGATGGGGTCTTTGGAAATGATCTACCTCAGTTAAGGATACAGCATACCAAGGGTGTCTCCTTGCCCACCCAGGGTAAGCTACTTTTATCAGTGTTTTCCGTCAACCCTGGAATGGAAAGTTGCGAAACAGAGAAGCGGGGGTTGCATACCTTGTGCTGGAAGGGAGGGCATAGAGGTCAACTCGTTCGCCCCCGGAATGATGGCAAGGAAGGTCCTGGGATTGGAATTGGAAGGAGGAAATAAAAGAGCGCTGAGGGCATATAGATTTTCCCCCATGTATGGTGCTGGGTCGGGTCCTTCAGATGTCCCGAATTTGGATAGGGGAGGGCTTGGACTGTGGCTGTACTACTCAGACCGTCCAGAGGGCTACAAAAGAGAAACGAGGCAGTCAGCCTTTGCTCTGCCTCTTCCAGAGGAATGTCAGTCCTTATGCTCCGAATTTTTAGTCTTCACTATTCTTTTCAATTCAGTTCAATTCCAAAGGCCTTTCTTGGGTCTCTGTTATGTAGCGATATTTATTGGGCACCTACTATGTCTGCAGGGCTCAGTGCTGAGGATAGAGGGATGGAAGTGAATCGGTCCTTGCCCTTTGGGAGCTCACAGCCTAGAGATGAAATTTACCTATAGACAAACCATTGCAGATCATTGTCAAGGAAATGCATGTATGTGAGTGGAATCCAGAGCTGAGGAGTGGCTAAGTGTGCCTGGGGACCCTAGAGAAGGAACATAAAAGGGACAATGCATGACTGATCACTCTTAAAGAAGGAGCAGATAGGCCGGCAGAGGAGGCAGCCAAGGGTTGGGGAGGGGAGGGACAGGGCAGGTTAGGAAACTACCCCTCGCTGAGAATGGTTATCAACAAGATATAGGGAGGATTCCAGGAGGGTGCAGAGAGATGAGACCAAGGGATAATCATGAACTAGAACTCTGCAATCTACTAATGCCGGTGTTTCTCGCTTTCTTCCTATTCTCTCCCAAGAGTCCTTGCCAGCCCAGGTCTAAAGTCCTTAACCTTGTAGACCACCCATTCAATAGAGACTTGGGCCAGGCATGGTGCTGCATGCCTGTAATCCCAGCTACTGGGGAGGCTGAGGCAGGAGGACTGTTTGAGGCCAGGAGACTGAGACCAGCCTGGGCAGCATAGTAAGACACCTATCTCTCTCTCTCTTTTTTTTTTTTTTTTTTTTTTCGAGACAGAATCTTGGTCTTGTTGCCCAGGCTGGAGTGCAATGGCATGACCTTGGCTCACTGCAACCTCTGCCTCCCTGGTTCAAGAGATTCTCCTGCCTCAGCCTCCTGAGTAGCTGAGATTACAGGTGCCTGCCACCACGACCAGCTAATTTTTGTATTTTTAGTAGAGATGAGGTTTCGTCATGTTAGCCAGGCTGGTCTCGAACTCCTGACCTTGTGATCTGCCCGCCTCGGCCTCCCAAAGTGCTGGGATTACAGATGTGAGCCACTGCACCTGGCCAATAAGACAGCTATCTCTAAAAAATTTTTTTTAAAAAGATTAGCCAGGTGCAGTGGTACGTGCCTGCAGGTCACAGCTACTCAAGAGGCTGAGGCAGGAAGATCACTTGAGCCAAGGAGTTCGAGACTGCATTGAGGTATGATCATGCCACTGCACCCCAGCCTGGGAGAGGGAGCGAGATCCTGTCTCTAACAAAATAAATAAATAAAATACAGACTTGAGATGAGACAGTGAGAAAAGTGGGCAGGAGGACTTTTATTTATTTATTTATTATTTTATTTTATTTTATTTTATTTTTCTCTTTTTTTTCATCATACTTTAAGTTCTAGGGTACATGTGCACAACATGCAGGTTTGTTACGTATGTATACATGTGCCATGTTGGTGTGCTGCACCCATTAACTCATCATTTACATTAGATATATCTGACAGGAGGACTTTTTAGAGAAACTTATTTCATCTCTATAACAAGGAGCTGGGAGAAAGGAGGGAGGGGAGAGTCGTCTGGGAGTTTTGGAGTTGGGATTGGGAAAAAGGAGGGCACAGCTTGTATTCAGTGTTGCTGCGGGGTTTGGACTACATACGGTATGGATTTAATTAGTATTTGATAGCTAGACTGTGGATCTTTGAATGCAACTAAGTCCGTAGAAGGAGCCATATGGGGACCCATAATTTATATGTGTTACATCTTTTTAAACATACACATATACAGTAATAAGGGAGGTCACATTTTAAAAAGGGATGCATTCTTGAAGATCTTTGCATAATTAAAACCTCAAAATAACCCAAGGATAACCCTGGGAAAGTTTCATTTATCAACTAAAGTATCGCTAACACAAGGCAATAGTGCACCATGGCTCGGCTTCATTTGGCCCATGCAGCTCCGAAATGATGCAATTATTGATGCTTTTTTTTTTTTTTTTTTTTGTCTTTTTGGAGAGGTTTACATTATTCTACATTTTGCACCCAAAGGGAGACTTCATTTCATACATTTTTTTTCTTTTTTTTCTGAGATGGAGTTTCACTTTTGTTGCCCAGGCTGGAGTGCAATGGTGCAATCTTGGCTCACCGCAAGCTCTGCCTCCCGGGTTCAAGCCATTCTCCTGCTTCAGCCTCCTGAGTAGCTGGGAATACAGGCATGCACCACCACACCCGGCTAATTTTGTTTTGTTTCGTTTTGTTTTTTTTTTTTAGTTGAGATAGAGTTTTTCCATGTTGGTCAGGCTGGTCTTGAACTCCTGACCTCAGGTGATCCGCCCACCTCGGCCTCCCTAAGTGCTGGGATTACAGGCATGAGCCACTGCACCTGGCCTTTTCTCTTTTCCTTTCTTTTTCTTTTTTTTTTTTTTTTTGAGATGGAGTCTCACTTTTGTCATCTAGGCTGGAGTGCAATGGTATGATCTTGGCTCACTGTAACCTCCGCCTTCCAGGCTCAAGCGATTCTCCTGCCTCAGCCTCCCAAGTAGCTGGGATTACAGGTGCCCGCCACTACGCCCGGCTAATTTTTATATTTTTAGTAGAGACGGGGTTTCACCACGTTGGCCAGGCTGGTCTCAAACTCCTGACCTCTGGTGATCCTCCCGCCTTGGCGTCCCAAAGTGCTGAGATTACAGGAATGAGCCATTGCGTCCGGCCATTTCATACATTTTTTATATTGTACTATTTCAAATTTGCAATTCTCTCTTTTATTTCATCTTCATGAATGAGACAATAGAGGCTTAGAAGGGTTCGGTCTTGTCCAAGATGCTGCAATGAGAAGCAAAGGCAGAGCCGGACCCCAAGCCCAGGAGAGGGGGCAAACCCCAGGCTTGAACATAGACAAACAGGCTGATCTTCCAGGGTGGGTCCTACTGTTACAGAAAAGGGGTCCCGATCCAGACCCCAAGAGAGGGTTCTTGGATTGCGCAAGAAAGAATTCAGGGAGAGTCCGCAGTGCAAAGTGAAAGCAAGTTTATCAAGGAATAAAAAAGAATGGCTACTCCACAGACAGAGCAGCTGAGAGCTGCTGGTTGCCCATTTTTATGGTTATTTCTTGATGATATGCTAAACAAGGGATGGATTATTCATGCCTCCCCTTTTTAGACCAGATAGGGTAATTTCCCGACGTTGCCATGGCATTTGTAAACTGTCATGGTGCTGGTGGGAGTGTAGCAGTGAGGACGACCAGAGGTCACTCGTCGCCATCTTGGTTTTGATGGGTTTTGGCTGGCTCCTTTATTGCAGCCTGTTTTATCAGCAAGGTCTTTATCACCTGTATTCTGTGCTGACCTTCTGTCTCACCCGTGACTTAGAATGCCTTAACCGTCTGGGAATGTAGCCCAGTAGGTCTCAGCCTCATTTTACCCAGTTCCTATTTAAGATAGAGTTGTCCTGGTTCACACGCTTCTGACACTACAAAAGACAGCAGTTGATTTTGTTTTATTTTTTTTGGTGGGGGTGGGGGGTGTTGTTTTTGTTTTTGAGACAGAGTCTTGCTCCGTCGCCCAGGCCGGAGTGCAGTGGCACAATCTCGGCTCACTGCAACCTCCGCCTCCTGGGTTCAAGTGAGTCTCCTGCCTGAGTAGCTGGGATTACAGACGTGCATCACCACACCCAGATAATTTTTGTATTATTAGTAGAGACAGGATTTCGCCATTTTGCCCATGCTGGCCTCGAACTCCTGGCCTCAAATGATCCGCCTGCCTCAGCCTCCCAAAGTGCTGGGATTACAGGAGTGAGCCACAGCACCCCCGGCCAACACAGCAGTTGAGAACTTGGCTTATGGAATCTATGCCCCTTGTTTGCTTTCTGACCTTGGGCCAGTCATTTTTAGCCCCTCTGGGCCTCAGTTTCCTCAACTGTCAAGTGGTTACTCAAGGGTAGAGATAACAGGTGATAAGGTTCTTAGCATGAGACCTTGTTCATACTGAATGCTCAGAAAACAGGTAACCATTATGATTCCAGCATTTCCTTGCCCCATCGTATCTTGCTTATCTGTTTACGCTTAGTTTCCAGCCAGACTGTGAGTCCCAGGAGGTCAGTACCTGTGTCTCCTTAGAGCTTGCATGCCAGCCCCGCCCCATCCTGCCTGCACACGTAGACCCAGGTAATTCGGGGCATCCAAAGGACCCCACACAACACCGTGCATGGGGGAATTCAATGCCGTCGACACTCTTTTCCTTTTTCCTTTCCATTCCAATCCCAGGAGCTTCCTTGCCATCTCTCTGGGGACTAACGAGCGGGCCCCGTCATTGCCGCCCTCCCAGCCCAAGGTATGCGACTCCCATTACCTCCCCATTCCAGGGCAGATGGAAAACACTGATAAAAGTAGTTTACCCTGAGGCACTGGAGACTCAAAGGGGCAGATTTGCATTTTAAAAGACCACTGTGGAGCGAGGGCAATGCTAAACCCAGAGAAACGGCTCGTGCTGCTAACGAGAAATGTGGTAACTTGGGCCAAATAGCTAGAGACAGACTTTCAGAAACTGCAACAATCGCCTACTTACTCAGCCCGCAGAGGGCTGGTGCTGTCAGCACCCTAATTATTGGTTTCTGTCCCCTACACAAAGAGACCTACATAAAGAGATTGACAGAGACCAGAGGTTGGAGAGGAAAGAAGATAACTTTTACAGCCCCTGCCCATGTCACCAATCCTTAACAGTAGGCATGACTGTGCCCTCTATTTTTTTTTTTTTTTGAGTCGAGGTCTTGCTCTTTGCCTGTGGCATGATCATAGCTCACTGCAGCCTCAACCTCCCAGGCTCAAGCGATCCTCCCACCTCAGCCTCCCAAGTAGCTGAGACCACAGGCCCACACCATCATGCCTGGCTAATTTTTAAATTTTCTTGTAGAGATGGGGGTCTTGCTGTATTGCCTGGCTGGTCTTGAACTCCTTTCAAGCCATCCTCCCGCCTCGGCCTCCCAAAGTGCTGGGATTTAGAGGTGTGAGCCACTGCGCCCCGCCTGTGACCTCCAGTTTGCAGATAAAGAAACTCCTGCTCCTCTGAAGATAAAGAAACTTCTGCTCTTCTGTAAATTAAGGAATTTGCAGGATAACACACCATCTACCGCCTGCAGAGTTGGGATCCAGATCTGGTCTGTGCCATGCCAAGGCCCGTGTTCCTTCTCCAATCTTTCTCTCCAGCAGAGGCTGCGAAACCCACTCAGAGGAATGGAATGCCTGACATTCAGCAGCCTCGTTGACTCCCCCAGAAGCCCCTGAGGGATCTTGACTCATGCACTGGAAAAATCAGTCCCCTCAGCCTCCTTGCCCCCAGCCCGCCTGCCTCTTCCCTGTAGTTCCACCAGATGTCTCAGCACTTGGGGAACGTACCTTACCCTTCTCTGTACTTCAGGACGCACTGTTCCTGGGTCTGGAA
Source organism: Homo sapiens (assembly GCF_000001405.40). Lineage (NCBI taxonomy): Eukaryota > Metazoa > Chordata > Mammalia > Primates > Hominidae > Homo > Homo sapiens. The sequence continues at coordinate 116,426,388 of NC_000012.12, read as the reverse complement.
TTTCCTACTCCCTTCTACCGGCTTCTGCCTTAAAAACTCCTTCATCTCCCTAATGCTCTAGATCAAATGTCTCCCTGACCCCATGAATATAACTTACTTCCATACTTTTTCCTCCCATGAAGCAAGGCTGCCATATACCATTGTATAGGCTGTGCACTGCACAACTCTAGGAGCACATTTGCACAGACCACGGTGGCGTTGTCTAGATGTTTCCATATTAGAATTGTGATAATATCTCTTTATGGCTGCAAACCTGAGTATAGAGACCAAGTCATATTCAGCACACACCCAGTGCCTAGCAGAGGGGTTAATGCTCAATAAATGTTAAATGAGGGCTGGCCACAGTGGCTCACACCTATATCCTCATGCTTTGAGAGGTGGAGGCAGGAGGATCGCATGAGGCTAGGAGTTCAAGACCAGCCTGGGCAACAGAGCAAGACCCCATCTCTACAAAAATAAAAACAAAAAATTAGCTGGGTGTTGTGGTGCACGCCTGTAGTCCCAGCTACATAGGAAGCTGAGGCGGGAGGATCTCTTGAGCCCAGGAGTTCGAGGCTGCAGTGAGCTGTGATCACACCACAGTCCTACAGTCTGGGTGACAGAGCGAGATCCCATCTCTTAAAAAAAATGTTGAATGAGGCCTAGCATGGTGGCTCATGCTTGTAATCCCAGCACTTTGGGAGGGTGAGGCGGGCAGATCACTTGAGGCCAGGAGCTCGAGACCAGACTGGCCACCATGGTGAAACCCTGTCTCTACTAAAAATAGAAAAATTATCCAGGTGAGATGGCTGGTGCCTGTAATCCCAGCTTCTCGAGAGGCTGAGGCATGAGAATTGCTCAAATCCGGGAGGCAGAAGTTGCCGTGAGTTGAGATTGCACCACTGCACTGCAGTTTAGATGACCGAGCAAGACTGTCTCAAATTTAAAAAAAAAAAGTTGAATGATTGAATTCCACAAGATACGATTATAACTTACGGAGACTGCAAATGCCCCAGAACTTGCCCTTCCAAACAAGTATAGCTATACCTCCAGGGGCTTAGTCACTCATTTCAACAAAGCTCCAAAACTCAAAGCCTTTTTTTTTTGTGAGATGAAGTCTCACTCAGTTGCCCAGGCTGGAGTGCCGTGGCACAACCTCGGCTCGTTGCAATCTCCACCTCCCCTGCTCAAGCGATTCTCCTGCCTCAGCCTCTCAAGTAGCTGGGACTACAGGAGCACACCACCATGCCGGGCTAATTTTGTATTATTTTTTAGTAGAGATGGGGTTTCACCATGTTGGCCAGGCTGGTCTCGAACTCCTGACCTCAAGTGATCCACCCGCCTCGGCCTCCTAAAGTGCTGGGATTACAGGCGTGAGCCACCGCACCCAGCCACAAAGGCTTTTTGGAGTTCCTCTCTGGGGAGTTCCTTCAGAACCAAGCTCCAAGCCACACAAGTAACCTCTGCTCATTATTTTACAATTATTATTTTATTATTTATTATAGTTACTTATTCAGACCTGTGGGCCACCAGTGTTTTCTCACCCAAAGCGATCCCAGCCAGCTTCATCTCTTTCTTTATTCATCAGACCCCATTCTATCTAACCTTGGGCTCTGTCTAAAAATTGAGTTCACTCTCCAAGAATGGGAATCTGCCACCACTGAGGAGAGTCAGGAGAAACTGCAGAGGCCCTGAAGGCTAATCAGAGACCAACTCCCAAAATGTGCTGTGCAGTGACAGTGTGGCTGGTCACGGGTCAGCCTTCCCCAGGGCCCTCCTCTAAGGGACCACACTTACTTGGCTATATATATTCTGGTATGTAAGTTTTCAAAACTTCACTCCTAGGCAGGTTGTGGTGGCTCATGCCTGTAATGTTAGCACTTTGGGAGGCCAAGGTGGGAGGATTGCTTGAGGCCAGGAGTTCAAGACTAGCCTGGGCAACAAAGACTCCAGTTTCTACAGAAAATTTTAGGGCTGGGCATCGTGGCTTACGCCTGTAATCCCAGCACTTTGGGAGGCCAAGGCGGGCAGATCACCTGAGGTCAGGAGTTTGAGACCAGCCTGACCAACATGGAGAAACCCCGTCTCTACTAAAAATGCAAAATTAGCCGGGTGTGGTGGCACATGCCTGTAATCCCAGCTCCTTGGGAGGCTGAGGCAGGAGAATCACTTGAACCTAGGAGGCAGAGGTTGCAGTGAGCTGAGATTGCGCCATTGCACTCCAGCCTGACCAATAAGAGTGAAACTCCGTCTCAAAAAATAATAATAATTTAAAAATTAGCCAAGTGTGGTGGCGCATGCCTGTAGTCCCAGCTACTCAAGAGGCTGAGGCAGGAGGATCTCTTGAGCTCAGGAATTGGAGACTTCAATGAGCCATGATCATACCAATGCACTTCAGTCTGGGCGGCAGAGCAAGACCCTGTCTTAAAAAACAAACAAACAAACAAAAAAAACCCCAAAAACAAAAAACAGAAAACTTCAGTCTTCATTCCATTGTCATGCTTGGAAGGAACTAATATTTACTGAGCATTCAATAGGTGCTTTTTGTTGTTTTTTTCTTTTTTTGAGACAGATTCCCACTCTATTGCCCAGGCTGGAGTGCAGTGGTGCAATTTTGGCTCACTGCAACCTCTGCCTCCCGGGTTCAAGCTATTCTCCTACCTCAGCCACCCAAGCAGCTGGGATTACAGGCATATGCCGCCATGTCCAGCTAATTTTTATATTTTTAGTAGAGACAGGGTTTCACCATGTTGGCCAGGCTGGTCTTGAACTCCTGACTTCAGGTGATCCACCCAGATTGGCCTCCCAAAGTGTAGGGATTACAGGCGTGAGCCACTGCACTCGGCCAGGTGCTATGTTTTATGATGAAAATTGTGTAGTTTAATTCTAGTAACCAGGAGGTGAGATGGGTCTAACACTCCTCATTTTACAGATATGGAAATTGAGGCTTGGAAAGTAAAGTGACTGGTCTGGGTCACCAGGCAACTGAGAATTGGACCCAGGTCCGGCAGCCTTCAGAGCTGATTTATTTTTCACGCTATCACTCTTTGTTTCTTTTACCCTTCAGACTCTGTTTCTTGGATGTTTTGCAATCCTGGAAGTAGAAAATCTGGATTTCATGTGATTCACTCCTGATGGAGGCAGCAGTTGATAGTTTCTGTTCTTTGTCAGCGTGACACTTAGGCTTTTGCCTGTGTTTCTCCTCCAATGGGGTGAATTTGTGTAAATCCCTCTACATTCTTCCCTGGTCTTCCTGATGACCAGAGGCACCCCGGTCTCTGGCTGGATGCTGTCACTGAGCATGAAACCAGAGATCAAATTGTAAGCCACATTAGCCCTGGGTTCCAAAACAGGTAACACTCATCTCACAAACTTGATTTTTGTGTATTTATTTTTGGGGGTCCAATTTTTCACCTTTGTGTAGTCTATTCAAGAATGTGGAGCTGAGCACGGTGGTTCATACCTGTAATTCCAACACTCTGGGAAGCTGAGGCAGGTGGATTGCTTGAGTCTAGGAGTTCGAGACCAGCTTGGGCAACATGGCAAAACCCCATCTCTACAAAAAATACAAAATAAGTCAGGGTTTGGTGGCTCACGCCTGTAATCCCAGCACTTTGGGAGGCCAAGGTGGGTGGATCACCTGAGACCAGGAGTTCAAGACCAGCCTGGCCAACGTGGTGAAACCCTATCTTTACTAAAAATACAAAAATTAGCCAGGCATGGTGGCATGGTGCCTATAGTCCCAGCTACTGGGGAGGCTGAGGCAGAAGAATTGCTTGAACCCGGGAGGCGGAGGTTGCAATGAGCCAAGCTCAAGCCACTGCACTCCAGCCTGGGGACAAAGTGAGACCCTGTCTCAAAGAAAAAAAAAGAATATGGGCCACAGAGTGTTAGTGTTCTTTGAATTCTTTATTAATTTCTGCCCTCGCTTGGTCCCCATGTTCAATACATTTCAAGGACACTGTAGACGGAAGACTCAACCCACACTTACTGAGCACTCATCACAAGCTGGGCTCCTTCATGTTCTGGAATAGGAGTCAGCCATCTACAGCCCATGGGCCAAATCTGGCCCACCACTTGTTTTTGTTAATAAAGTTTTATTGGCACACAGCCACATCTATTCATTTACATATTGTCTATGCTGCTTTCATGCTACAACAGCAGTTAAGTAGTTGCAACTGTATGACCTTTGACACTGAAAATAATTTACCTTTTGACTCTTTTTGAAAAAACTGTGTTTGCAGATGTAATTAAGCTTAAGTATTATCTCAAGATGAGATCACCCTGGATTGACTGAGTGGGCCCTAAATGCAATGACAAGTAACATTTTAGGAGCCACACAGAAGAGAGATACAGAGGCTGGAAGAGGCAAGGAAGGGTCCTCCTCTAGAGACTTCATTACAACATTAGAGAACTCATTATGGCAGTCACAAGAAACTAACACTCTCCCTTCCCCAGCTTCCCTTGCAGCTAGGGCACAGGCACATGACTTGGCTCCACCAATCAGGTGCACTTTCCCAGATTAAATGAGACACTAATTGTGGAGGAAATAGAAACTGTACATCTCAGTGCTAACTGGGAGTAGTAGCAGCCCAGCAGCTACATGGCATTTTCAGAGATGTCAGTGGCTGCAGTTTTAGTGGCACTGACTGGTGTCCAGAATTGTTGGCTATAAGGGAGGATATAACTGTGTCTGTGACAGAGGGAACAGCAGTAGCATCTTCACTTATTGGACGACTTCTGGGGCAATGTGGGAGTTACTCCTGAATGCACAAACTAACTCCAAATCCAATTTGCCTGCTGGAAATTCTGCAAGCTACCCCATATCCTTTGGGTATATATTTTTCCTAATAAAATTAGTCAGCATTGGTATCTGTTGTCTTCAGGGGCGTGCTGGAGTCAGCTCCTACCAGCTCAGGAGAAGGTTTGCACCCCTTCCCAATTCAATTTTCAGTGACATCATGTTGGTCACTTAAAATCAGCCAAGATGGGTGTAGTTTCACCACGGAAATTGGCAACTGCTACAAATCAGGGCTTTTTTTGTTTTGGAAGAGTCTATTTATCAGCATACCATGGATTGTTTACAACTCAAAACTCTGATTGATAGCCATAGGATATCTCATTTCATCTTTGTATCCAGCCGATAAGAAAGAGTTTACAATCACCTTTCTACAGATGAGGAAACTAAAAGAGATGAAATGATTCTTCAAAGTCATAAACCTATGAGGTAATAAATCAGGGAAGGGAACTTCTGACTTCACATCCTCTAAATAAAAAATAAGGCTAATGACCACTTTTTTTTTTTTTTGAAAGTGAAGATTTAAAGACAGGTTGCATTAAAACAAACAAACAACAAAACCCACACAAACTTAAACAACAGCCAGGGGCCACTGTCCAATCTAATCCCATTCAAATCACCCAGTGTCATTTGCAGAAAAGTGGCAGGTCAGAGCTTCAGGATGAGGCATTTAGATGGGATTTGAAGCACAGTCTGTTTTACAGTTAAAACTCCCTTGATGCTTCCAATGAAGAAAGAGGCAGCCTTCCACATTTGGAGGGGAATACATCACTGATGCCATTAACAGGCTTAAGGGGGGCAGGCAGTCTCACCTTGATGCTCTAAGAGTCCAGGGCTTGCTCTGTGGGCACTGGAAGATTTACCATTAGCAGGGCATGTCAAGAGCCTCTGAACCTCATCTCGGGGAGAGAGATTTATAATGCCTCCACAGCTGTTTGAGCACAGCTCCAGCTAGATCTGTCCCATGTTCTGGGCAGTGAGGCTTCCTGTGTGAAGACACATTCTCCTTCCTGCCTACTCAGCCTGGGAGCCTGGACCTTGGGAACAACAGAAGGAATCCTATGGGTGTTCCTCTGCTAGAATCACACGGCTCTGTCCCCTTCCCTTCTCCGGGATGTGCAGGTGCTCTCTTCTGGCAGCAGATGCGATTTCCTGGCCACTGCCCAGAAAGCAAGCAGGTGTCCCAGCGTTGGCAGCACGCTTCCATCCATCCTCGTCCTCCCAGGAGATGCAGGGGGCTCTGGGATGTGTCTGGGGTGGAAACATCTTGGAGTGAGAGGCTTGCACCAGCTGCAGGCATTTAAGAAGCCAGCTGCAGGGGGCCGGCAGGTTCCAGGCAGATCCTTCCAGGAATAGAGACAATTACCTTTTCTGTTTTATGAAACCTACTATGTGTTCTACATACATTCGTCGGATCTTTAGAACAGCCCTGCTGGGCATGCATTATTCCCTCATTTTTCTTTTTCTTCCTTTCTTTTTTTTTTTTTTTTTTTTTTTTTTTGAGACAAAGTCTTGCTCTGTCACCCAGGCTGGAGTGCAGTGGTGCCATCTGGGCTCACCGTAACCTCAGCCTCCCAGATTCAAGCCATTCTCGTGCCTCAGCCTCCCGAGTAGCTGGGATTACAGACGTGCACCACCACACCCAGCTAATTTTTGTATTTTTAGTAGAGACGGGGTTTCACCATGTTGGACAGGCTGGTCTTGAACTCCTGACCTTAAGTAATCTGCCCGCCTTGGCCTCCCAAAGTTCTGGGATTACAGGCATGAGCGACTCCACCTGACCTATTCCCCCACTTCTCTGATGAGGAAAAAGAGGCCTGGAGAGGTTAAGAAGTCTACCCCAAATCCACCACTCACTAGTGTCAGAGCTGGGCTTTGAACCCAGGGCTTTATGACTCCCATGCTTGGGTGGTGTATAGGGTGGCACAGTGTTCTGCTGCCCCACTCCACTCCAATTCATGTTCATCCCTGATGAATGCAACATTATTTGGAAATAAGGCCTAGATGTAATTAGTTCAGATGAGATCCTACTGGATTAGGGTGGGCCCTAAATCCAATTTGGTGTCTTTTTTTTTTTTTTTTTTTTTGAGGCTGAGTCTTGATTTATCGTCCAGGCTGGAATGCAATGGCGCGATCTCGGCTCACTGCAACATCCGCCTCCTGGGTTCCAGCAGTTCTCCCAGCTCAGCCTCCGGAGTAGCTGGGATTACAGGCATGCACCACCATGCCTGACTAATATTTGTATTTTTTAGCAGAGGCACGGTTTCCTCAGGTTGGCCAGGTTGTTCTCAAACTCTTGACCTCAGGTGATCCACCCATCTTAGCCTCCCAAAGTGCTGGGATTACAGGCGTGAGCCACCGTGCCCGGCCACACATCCATGGTCCATGTTTCTTTCTTTCTTTTTTTGTTTGAGACGAAGTTTCGCTCTTGTTACCCAGGCTGGAGCACAATGGCGCGATCTTGGCTCACTGCAAACTCCACCTCCCAGGTTCAAGAGATTCCCCTGCCTCAGCCTCCCGAGTAGCTGGAATTACAGGCACCCGCCACCACGCCCGGCTAATTTTTGTATATTGAGTAGAGATGGTCAACCATGTTGACCAGGCTGGTCTTGAACTTCTGACCTCAGGTGATCCGCCCTCCTTGGCCTCCCAAAGTGCTGGGATTACAGGCGTGAGCCACAGCACCCGGCCCCCTACCGCATGTCCATGTTTCTAAACGCAGTTCTCTTTCCAGGACACCCTCCCAATGGACAACTCAGCAATGTTTTTCTTCTTCTATTGTTTTGTTTCTGGGCTTAGAAAGCCTGTCACTGTCATCCTGTGTCTCTGAGGACCACCATGGCAGGTCCCTCGAGACTCTGTGGGTGGGTCTACTCTCCCTGGAGGCCCAGCTGCCAGGGAAGCTCCCTAGAGGAGCACGCCACCCTCTGCTTGTTGCCTGAGAGGCGTCTCCTGGGGGCCTGCGATCAGAAGACATTCGCCTCCTCCACTTGGATCCTTCTCTCCCCACTAGACAGGGGTCCTGTTTCATTCCCCTTGGAGTTCCTGGGATCTGGCACATACTAGGTTCTTTGTAAATGTTTGTGGCCTGAGTAAACACCCTGTTTCACTGTCAAGAATCATTTCAATGGTCTCAAACCAGTTTGCTCGCCGATTGAATGGATTAAACCAACAGAGCCACTATTTTAAGCCTCCTACTGTGTGCCTGCATCTGATGTATGTCATCCAAGCGGGTCTGTTACAGGAAAGGAGTCCAGATCCAGACCCCAAGAGAGGGTTCTTAGATCTTCTGCAAGAAAGAATTCAAGGTGAGTCCATAAAGGGAAAGCAAGTTTATTAAGAAAGTAAAGGAATCAAAGAATTTTTGTATTTTTAGTAGAGATGGGGTTTCACCATGTTGGCCAGGCTGGTCTTGAACTCCTGACCTCAGGTGATCCACCTGCCTCGGCCTCCCGAAGTGCTAGGATTACAGGCATGAGCCACCGTGCCTGGCCTTATTTCTTGATTATTGCTAAACAAGGGGTGGATTATTCATGTCTCCCCTTTTTAGACCATATAGGGTAACTTCCAGACGTTACCAAGGCATTTGTAAACTGTCTTGGAGCTGGTGAGAGTGTGGCAGTGAGGACGACCAGAGGTCACTGTCATCATCATCTTGGTTTGGGTGGGTTTTAGCTGTCTTCTTTATTGCAGCCTGTTTTATCAGCAAGGTCTTTATGACCTGTATTCTGTGCTGATCTTTTATCTCATCCTGTGACCTAGAATACCTAACCATCAGGGAACGCAGCCCAGTAAGTCTCAGCCTCATTTTACCCAGCTCCTATTCAAGATGGAGTTGCTCTGGTTCAAATGCCTCTGACAAGTCTATTACTGTGGCCATTTTACAAACAAGGTGACTGAGGCTCAGAAAGGTGGCATTGTTCACTCATACCCACAGAGCTAAGACAGAGCGGAAGTGGGATTCAAACCCAGGTCTGCAGGATTTGGAGGTTTCCTCCAAACCCATCCTCTTTCCAGAACACCTACTCCCTTCAAATCAATCTTCCATTTGGGGGCTATGAACACATATCCTTAGTCCAGATCTTTCAGAGACTAAATAAAAAACGTTCCATCTTGATTCCTTTTTTTTTTTTAACTTCAAGACAGGGTCTCACTATGTTGCGCAGGCTGGTCTTGAACTCTTGGACTGAAAGGATCCTACCGCCTTGGCCTCTGGAGTAGCTGGGACTACAGACGTGCACAATGCCCCCGCCCCGCCAGCCCGACATCAAGCATTCTTGATGGTGGGTTTCTCAGAACCTCTCCAGCCTGCTTCACCAAGGTTCTCAGGAAACCAGGGGAATGGTGACCTGCTACCAGAAATCTCGTCACTGCTTTTGCAGAATTAACATCATCCATCAGCGCCACTGCCCTGGAGGGGCTGGGAGTGTAGGGTGAGTTTTCTTTTTTTCTTTTTTTTTTGAGACAGAGTCTCGCCCTGTCGTCCAGACTGGAGTGCAGTGACGCGATCTTGGCTCACTGCAACCTCTGCCTCCCAGGTTCAAGTGCTTCTTGTGCCTCAGTCGCCCAAGTAGCTGGGACTGCAGGTGCAGGCACAGGCAGCCACACCCAGCTAATTTTTGTATTTTTAGTAGAGACGGGGTTTTGCCACGTTGGCCAGGCTGGTCTTGAACTCTTGGTCTCAAGTGATCCTCCCGCCTTGGCCTCCCAAGGTGCAGGGATTACATATGCGAGCCATCGTGCCTGGCCTGGAGTGAGTTTTCTTAGCCCCCTCAGATCCTGGAACTCTGGAATTCTCAGGACCTCCTTTGCTAGGGCAGTGGCTTTTTCATGAGTCGATGATGGTATTGATGATGATGATGATGATGATGGTAAAGATGCCATAACTCTAACGGTTTACCACTCCTGAGTGTGCACCTACACCGTGCTAAACTTTCTACATCAATTTAGCTCTCAGACAATAAGCCCTATGTAGGAGGATACTTTTCCTCATTTTACAGATGGGGAAACCGAGGTCATTCTCACAGCACTCAAACCCCATTCTGATGGGTAAGCTGCCTCTTATTCCATGACACTCCACTGCCTCGTGTCAGAGCTGACCACAAAAGGGCCTTTGGAATCTGTGCTCAGCCTGCCTTTTGCCCCCACAGGAGACAGGCAGCTTCAGCCTGCAGGGTTACACCCTGGAGACATCCACAAGAGACTCAATTTACTTCTGGACAGAAACCAGCAGGATCTCCTTGTGCCATGGCCCCCAGGTAAGTGGGACCCAGCATGGAGCCGAGGTTTCTGTGACCCCTGAGGTCACCTTGGCGGGAAGGCCACAGCCTCCCTTTGACCTGTCAGCAGAATTCCTTCAAGTCACCCCAGTTTTCCTGTGTCTAAAAGGAGACTAATCACAGTGAAGCAGCTTGAAGTCCTGGTCTGAAAAGCATCATTATTACTTGCTCGAGGGTCTTGGCATCTTGGGGCTTCAAGGGGGAAAAAAAAAAAAAAAAGAAACCCACATTGATTTCTAATGCAAATTGGGTTTGAAGAGGATCCCTGGGCTCTCTGGAGCTCTCAGTCACCCACAGCGGAGGGCACGCCCCGGGGGGACTGTTGCCTTGGGCAAAGAATTTTCTCTCATCAAGACAAAACCCAGATAGGGTCATTCCGCTTTCAGACCCCACTGCACTGCTGCCCCCAGCATCCAGCCGAAAGTGTAGCCGCAACTGGAGTCACAGTGGAATTCCCAGATCTGTGGGCCGGGGAGGCTTTCAGCTCCCTGCTCCTCCCCACGCCCCCATCCCCTCACCCGTGACACACACGCGCGCGCACACACACACGCACTCACACGTGCCCCTCATTCACACATACACACTCACAGACAGGCACACACAACACTCACACACTCTCCCAGACATATACAGACACACACAATCACACACACGACACTCATTCACACATGCACATACACAGACATGTGCACACAATACTCACACACTCTCCCAGACACGCTCAGACACACACACACAATCACATACATGCACTCACACATACACGACACTCGTTCACACATGCACACATACTCACAGACATGTGCACACACACTTACTCTCCCAGACACACTCAGACACAATCACACACACCCCCCTCATTCACGCATACACACAGACATGCACATACAACACACACACTCTCCCAGACACGCTCATACAGGCACACGTAATCGCATATGCACTCACACACACATATTCACATGCCCCATTCAGACACATGTTCACAGAGGTTCACACACATTGTCACAGAGACACATTCGCACGTGTTCACACACATTCACACACTCACACACAAGTCTCACAGGCACACACAGCACTCACGCACACAGACATGCACACTCTCACACATTCACACAAAGACACTCATTCACACATTATTTAGTCTCACACAGACACGTGTGCATGCACAATACTCACATACATTCATACACACACAATCCTCAAATGTACACACAACACACATTTACAGACACCCACTCACACATGGACACACACGCACACACACTCATTCACACGTGGACGCATGCACGTGCTCACACACACTCATTCACACGTGGACGCATGCACGCACACACACACTCACTGAACCTTCCCTGTTCATCCGAATTTCTCTCTGTCAATTTCTCTCAGGCACCGTTTCCCTTGACGTCTCCTTGGTGTCTTTTTCTGCTCATCAGCCCTTTTCTCCAGACCTGGGGCCACTCAGCCAAGCTGCAGAAATCCTTGATGTGCTTCCAGTCTCACAGAGACCCAGCAAATGCTCTTCAGTTTTTTGTTTGTTTGTTTCGAGACAGAGTTTCTCTCCTGTCAACCAGGCTGGAGTACAGTGGTGTGCTCTCAGCTCACTACAGCCTCCGCCTCTGGGTTCAAGCGATCCTCCTGCCACAGCCTTCCGAGTAGCTGGGATTACAGGTGCACACCACCACGCCCGGCTAAGTTTTGTATTTTTAGTAGAGAGATGGGGTTTCGCCATGTTGGCCAGGCTAGTCTTGAACGTCTGACCTCAAGTGATCCACCCACCTCAGCCTCCCAAAGTGCTGGGATTACAGGCGTGAGCCACCGTGCCCAGCTGCTCCTTAGTTTTGTTTCTTTTTTTTCTTTTTTTTTGAGATGGAGTCTCTCTCTGTCCCCCAGGCTGGAGTGCAGTGGCGCGATCTCGGCTGACTGCAAGCTCTGCCTCCCGGGTTCACACCATTCTCCTGCCTCAGCCTCCCGAGTAGCTGGGACTACAGGCGCCCGCCACCACGCCCGGCTAATTTTTTGTATTTTTAGTAGAGACGGGGTTTCACCGTGTTCGCCAGGATGATCTCGATCTCCTGACCTTGAGATCCGCCCGCCTCGGCCTCCCAGAGTGCTGGGATTACAGGCATGAGCCACCGCGCCCGGCCAGTTTTGTTTCTTGTTTTTTGCCTTGCTCCTCAGTATTGATGGAAATTTGCTTCTAGTAAATTTGCTACCCACCCTGCCATTAAAAAACCAGGGAAGAAAGCTTCCACGTGCTGCAAGCTTCCTCATCCTCCCAACTCCCCTGAGAGATAACATTAGCTTTCCTCATCTCAGGTGAGGAAACCGAGGCATAGAAAAGTGCAGTGACACTGGCTGGGTGCAGTGGCTCACGCCTGTAATCCCAGCACTTTGGGAGGCCAAGGCAGGCAGATCATGAGGTCAGTAGTTTGAGACCAGCCTGGCCAATATGGTGAAACCCCATCTCTACTAAAAATACAAAAATTAGCCGGGCATGGTGGCACGTGCCTGTAGTCTCAGCTACTTGGGAGGCTGAGACAGGAGAATTGCTTGAACCCAGGAGGTGGAGGTTCCAGTGAGCCAAGATCGCGCCATTGTGCTCCAGCCTGGGAGATGAGTGCAGTGACTCATCTCAGATTAATTAACTTAAAAAATATTTATTGGCTGGGCACGGTGGCTCATGCCTGTAATCCCAGCACTTTGGGAGGCCAAGGCGGGTGGATCACCCGAGGTCGTGAGTTCGAGACCAGCCTGAACAATATGGAGAAACCCCCTCTCTACTAAAAATACAAAATTAGCCGGGCGTGGTGGCACATGCCTGTAATCCCAGCTACTCGGGAGGCTGAGGCAGGAGAATCGTTTGAATCCGAGAGGCGGAGTTTGTGGGGATCCGAGATTGCGCCATTGCACTCCAGCCTGGGCAACAAGAGCGAAACTCCGTCTCAAAAAAAAAAAAAAATTATTGAGCCCCTACGATGGGCCAAGCACTGTTCTGGCAGTGAGGGATGCGACATTCAACAAGACAAGGACCAGCCCTGGGGTGAACAGTCACAAAGCTACTAAGAAGTTTTCCCAACTCCCGAGTCCTCAATTTTCTGTGTCCCCACAGGGCCAGTCTTTGTGGGTCCTAGGCACTCCTGCCTTTGTGGGCCCTTTCAAGCATAATTGTATTTTATGCTGCCTTAATATAAAGAGAAATATAATCCAGGCAGAATTAAAAATTAAGACATTTTATTCAATCCTGAAAGTTAGGGACTTTTCCCTTCTGATTTTAAGAGAAATGGAAACCGCACTGGGCCGGGCACAGTGGCTCACGCCTGTAATCCCAGCACTTTGGGAGGCCAAGACCAGTGGATCACTTGAGGTCAGTAGTTCAAGACCAGCCTGGCCAACATGGCGAAACCCCGTCTCTACTAAAAATCCAAAAATTAGCCAGGCCTGGTGGTGCATGCCTATAATCCCAGCTACTCGAGAGTCTGAGGCAGAAGAATCACTTGAACCCGTGAGGCAGAGGTTGCAGTGAGCCAAGATCGCACTACTGCACTCCAGTCTGGGTAACAGAGCAAGACTCTGTCTCAAAAAAAAAGAGAGAGAGAAATGAAGACATTTTCATGGGCCCTAGGCATTGTGTCTGCTGTACCTCATGGGTCCGTGGCCCCTATGTTCCTAAACGCTAGGGTGGATTACCTCCCTTTGAAAAGTGAGCCCTGGGTCTATCCACAACTGCAGGACAACCCGAATAACCATCAATGGATGAAGTATTGATGCATCCTACAGTGTGGATGAACCCCAAAACAGGCCGGCCGGGTGCGGTGGCTCACGGCCTGTAATCCCAGCACTTTGGGAGGCTGAGGCAGGAGGATCGCTTCAGGTCAGAAGTTCAAGACCAGCCTGGCCAACATGGCGAAACCCCATGTCTGCTAAAAATACAAAAGGTAGCTGGGCAGGGTGACAGATCCCTGTAATCCCAACTACTCGGGAGGCTGAGGTATGGGAATCACTTGAGCTTGGGAGGTAGAGGTTGCAGTGAGCCAAGATCAAGGATTGAGCCACTGCACTCCAGTCTGGGTGATGGAGTGATACTCTGCCAAAAAAAAAAAAAAAAAAAAAAAAAAAATTAGCTAAGTGGAAGAAGCCAGGCGCAAAAGGCCAGATAGTCTGTAATTCCATTTATATGAACTGTCCAGAATGAGTACATCCAGGGAGACAGAAAGCAGATTCATGGTTGCCATGGGCTGGGAAGGAGGGAATGGGAAGTGCTTGCTAACAGGTATGGGGTTTCCATTTGAGTCGATAAAAAGTTTTGGGGCCAGGCACAGTGTCTCATGCCTATATCTCCAGCACTTTGGGAGGCTGAGGCGGGTGGATCGCTTGAGCTCAGGAGTGCAAGACCAGCCTGGCCAACATAGCAAAACACTGTCTCTACAAAAAATACAAAAATAAAATAAAATTAGCCAGGCATAGTGGCGTGCACTTATGTTCCCAGCTACTTGAGGGGCGTGAGGTGGGAGAATCACTTGAGCCTGGGGAGACTGAGGCTTCAGTGAGCCAAGATTGTGCCGCTGCACTCCAGCCTGGGAGACAGAGTGAGACCCTATCTCAAAAAAAAAAAAAAAAAAAAAAAAAGAGTTTTGGAGCCTAGATAGAGCTGATGGTTGTACAATATTGTGGATATACTTAATGCCATTGAATTGTATGCTTTAAAATAGTTATTGTTAGGCCAGGCACAGTGGCTCATGCCTGTAATCCCAGCACTTTGGGAGGCCAAGGCAGGCAGATCGTCTGAGGTCAGGAGTTCGAGACCACCCTGGCCAACATGGTGAAACCCTGTCTCTAACAAAAATACAAAAATTAGCCGGGCATGGTGGTGGGCGCCTGTAATCCCAGCTACTCAGAAAGCTGAGGCAGGAGAATCGCTTGAACCCAGGAGGCAGAAGTTGTAGTGAGCCAAGATTGCACCACTGCACTCCAGCCTGGGCAACAGAGAGAGACTCCATCTCAAAACAACAACAACAACAACAACAAAACAGTTAATGTTATGTGAATTTCATCCTCATTTAAACAAAACGAAACAAAACAATACCAGTAAGCCCCGGGCTTCCCCTTCCAGCTTACCCTGGAGACCCTGGAGATGAGTGTCCCCCTGCACCCGCAAGCCCCAGGTTTCTGTTTCTGTTCCCATTTCCTTCCTCTGGAGCCCTCTTCCTTCTCTCCTCCCGCATCTGGTCTGTTTCTTCTCTCGTCCTGTTACTGGCATGATAGAAAGCCCCTTAATCCAGGAATCCTTGCTGCACTTCCCACGTGCCTCAGGCCATAGACCAGACACTGCACACTGGTGACCCTGGGGCCAAGTCTCATCCACTGACATATTTTCCTTGGCCCATACAGTGTTCTCAAGAATTTCCAAGAGTTGCCAACATTTCAAAACAGAAAGATTTCACACAGAACACACACACACACACACACACACACACACACGACTTCCAGCTTCTCTGGGGAAATTCAGAGGCGCCAATCACTCTGGGCCCTCATTCCCTCGTGGCTGTAGGAACCAGGCTGCTGCGACCCATTAGAGAAACCCCTGTCTCCAGTTTGCCACAGTCCTCACCACTCCTTAGAACCTTAGACAGCATCTGTTTTTCCTGCCTGGCCCCTATGGCTTTGGAGTTTGTCACAACAGCTGTAGACAAATGACTGAGCCTCTTCAGGCCTCATCATCAAAATCTAGGGGATGGATTAGGTGATCTTTAAGGGTTTTTTCAGCTGAGAGTCTGTGATAGCTGCAAACTCGGCTTTATTTATTTATTTATTTATTTAGAGCCAGGTTCTTGCTCTGTTACCCAGGCTGGAATGCAGTGGCATGATCATAGCTTACTGCAACCTCAAATTCCCGGATTCCAGAGATCCTCCTGCCTCAGCCTCCTGAGTAGCTGGGACTACAGGCAAAAAGCCAGTGTATCTGGCAAACTTCTTAAATTTTTTGTACAGTCTTGATTTGGTGCCCAGGCTGCTCTGAAACTCCTGGGCTCAAGTGATCCTCCTGCCTCAGCCTCCTGAAGTGCTGGGATTACTGGCATGAGTTACCATGCCTGGCCAAACTTGATTTTTCTATCTGCAGTGTCTGTGGGCCTGGGAGCCTACCCATGTGAAGGGTTGGGGATGGAGAAGGAGAAGTGGTTCAAAGATGCTGCTGGCGCCTTCACTCCCTGCCACTATGAGTCTTGGCTGCTAACAGCTCAGAGTTGCACCTTTTCCTAGAGGGCTGTCCTCGATCAAGTGGGAGCAGTCTCACCTTCTCTGCTCCCACCCCCAGAGCAGCCCACAGCCAATGACTGATTGACAAGGGTGTGAAGGGCCCGCCCCTTACCTCAATGAAGGAAATATTAATAACGAACTGCAAACTGTGTATCCAGAGCTCCCTGCGGGACCAGGCTGAGACTCCAGCAGTTGCCATCCTTAGCAACTCTCCTGCCCTGTCCTGCCTCCTCTCTCCTTTCTCCTGAGAACATGTCACTCAAAAAAACCACATCCCCCAATAAAGAATCCCCTCCTGTGTATGAAACTTGGCTCTCAATCAATCTAGGAAGGATATGCAACAGCATGGGATTTCGATTTAGAGGCATATGGATGGGTTAAATGCCTCTCACCGGAGTCCATCTTAGCCACTGCGCAGGACACATGATGTGATCGTGCTTCCTTTTGTGGTTTCCTACAAAATTGTGCTTTTCTTAAGGACAAAAATTGTGCCTCATTCATGTCTGTATCCCTAGCACCTAGCACAGTGCTTGTCTTCTCTTAAACAGCAGAAAGTGGCTGGTTGCATTGAGCTGAATGAACGTGTGTGTGTGTATGTGTGCACACACATGCGTGTGTACACACAGAAAGCCTCCTGGAGACCGGGTGCGGTGGCTCACACCTGTAATCCCAGCACTTTGGGAGGCCGAGGCAGATCACCTGAGGTCAGGAGTTCAAGACCAGCCTGGCCAATATGGCAAAACCCTGTCTCTACTAAAAATACAAAAATTAGCTGGGCGTAGTGGCACACGCCTGTAACCCCAGCTACTCAGGAGGTTGAGGCAGGAGAATTGCTTGAACACTAGAGGCAGAGGTTGCGGTGAGCCGAGATTGCACCACTTCACTCCAGCCTCAGTGACAGAGGGAGACTCTGTCTCAAAAACAAAAGGAAGCCTCTTGGAGCATATGAATTCTGGGCATCTGAGGCCTCAGTGTTTGTCCAGCTCCAACAGGACTACAGAAAGCCCTCGTTGCTGTAACAAAGTACCATAGACTGGGTGGCTTAGCAACAACAGAAATTTATTGCTCACAGTTCTGGAGGCTGGAATTTCGAGATCAGAGTGTCAGTATGGCCAGGTTCTGGTTGGGGCCCTCCTCCAGGATGCAGACGGCCAACTTCTCATTGTATCCTCGCGTGGTGGAGAGAGGGTGAGAGAACTCTCTGGGGTCCCTTTTATAAGGGCACTAACCCCATTCATGAATGACCTGATTACATCCCAAAGGCCTGCTCCTCACACCATCATATTCAGGGTTAAGATTTCAACATAAGGATTTGGGGGTGACATGAACATTCAGTCCAGCAGCCTCCACCCCACTGGCAGAGGTCTTCTCTCTTCTCTCTGTAACATTCCTGCAGAATGCCCTTGTGACCACAGCTTGCTCCCGCTGCCTCTTTCTGTTACGCATGTGAAAATCCATCTCCCTCTGGGCTAGTATAAATAATAATGGCTACTACTACTACGATCTTTACGATGAGCACCAGATTACGTGCTCTGTCCTGTTCACCCATTATTTCTAACCCGATGACAACCTTCCCTAAGAGATGGCTTCATATTAGCCCAGAACACTGGGGCCCAGCAATGGGAAGCCACTTGCTCAAGGTCACACAGCCAGTGGGATGGCAAGCCAGGATTCCAAGCCAGATCCTTCTCTTATTTATTTATTTTTTTCTCAATCGCCCAGGCTGGAGTGCAGTGGTGTGATCTTGGCTCACTGCAACCTCTACCTCCCAGGTTCAAGTGATTCTCCTGCCTCAGCCTCCTGAGTAGCTGGGATTACAGTTGCCTACCACCATGCCCGGCTAATTTTTGTATTTTTAGTGGAGATGGGGTTTCACCATGTTGGCCAGGCTGGTCTCAAACTCCTGACCTCAAGTGATGCGCTGGCCTCAGCCTCCCAAAGTGCTGGGGTTACAGGCATGGGCCACAGCATAGCTCATTTAATTTACCAGTCACCAAGTAGCTCATTTTAATCAGTTTCCTGATTTGGCAGGAGATGAAACAAAATGGGTACTCTCTTAGACACTGTAGTTGCCCTCCCAATAATTTATCCTAAGATATCATTCCAAATGTACACAGGCGAGGTGCAGTGGCTCACACCTGTAACCCCAACACTTTGGAAGGCCAAGGCAGAAGGATCACTTGAGGCCAGAAGTTCAAGACCAGCCTAGGTAAACTTGTGAGACCCCATCTCTACAAAAATTTTAAAAATTAGCCAAGTGTGAGACTACATACCTGTAGTCTCAGCTACATGAGAGGCTGAGGTAGGGAGACTGCTTGAGCCCAGGAGCTTGAGGCTGCAGTGAGCCATGATGGCGCCATTGCATGTCAGCCTGGGCGACAGAGTGAGACACCATTTCAAAAAAAAAGAAGAAAGAAAGAAAAAGAAAAGAATGTACACAAAGACTTAACCACAAGGCTCTTCCTCTTGACCTCTTTCACAGTAAAAAACAGAAAATCCCTAACCATACAACAAAGTAATAAAGGCTGTGATTGATATTCCCATTTCACTGATGGGAAGATGGTGCAAGAGATGTTAAGCAGCCTAGGAGTGGAACTCAGGTGGTCTGGCATCAGAGTCTGAAGCTCGGCACTATATGCTTTTGGCTTCTAGAAAAGCCTGAAAGGCTGAAAGTAACAGTGGTGCTCTCTCGGTAGTTGGACTATGGGTAGTTTGTATTTTATTGTGTTTAGAGACAGGGTCTTGCTCTATTGCCCAGGCTGGAGTGTGGTGGCATAATCATAGCTCACTGCAGCCTTGACCTACCAGGTTCAAGTGATCCTCCAGGCTCAGCCTCTCAAGTAGCTAGGACCATAGGTGTGCACCACCATGCCCAGCTAATTTTTTTGTGTTTTGTAGAGCTGAGGTCTCCCTATATTGCCCAATCTGGTCTCAAACATCTGGGCTCAAGCAATCCTCCCGCTTCGGCCTCCCAAAATCCTGGGATCACAGGTGTGAACCATCACGCCCAGCTGGTAGTTTTTATTTGTTTCCTTTTGGCCTATGCATACTCTGAATTTTCTACTGAGATCATCCATTGTTAGTATACTTTGCCTAAAAAGAAAAAGAAATACTATGTATTTAAATCAGTCAGTCAACCAACAACCAACCAATCCATCAGCTGCGCTATTTTTGCATGTCTTCTGTTGTAAATGAGCCACCTCCAGTCACAGCCAAAGTCACTGTTCCCAGTCATTGCAGCCAGAGGGGCCTTGCCCTGTGGTGTCAGCCAGGGCGTGCATCTCAGTCTGCCTCTGCTGACAGCTCCATGTAGGGCTTGTGAAATCAAGGCAGATTGCATAAGAGCGTCCCCTGGGGCCCTGGAGCTGTTTGTCACCCCTGAGTTATTTTTATTGGTTGTAAACTGAGCTCTCCTTTTTGGAAGCTTCCTGGGACTGTAGAGTATCCCAGCCTCTGCAGAGAGAGGACAATGTTGGCCAGGGCTGAGAGGGCCTTGGCCTGGAACTTTGCAGGGGCCTTTTTGCCCAGGGTCAGAAAAGGAGGGCCTGTCGCAGTGCCTCACGCCTGTAAACCCAACACTCTGGGAGGCTGAGTGGATCACCTGAGGTCGGGAGTTCAAGACCAACCTGGCCAACATGGTGAAACCTTGTCTCTACTGAAAATACAAAAATTAGCTAGGGGTGGTGGCGGGCACCTGTAATCCCAGCTACTCAGGAGGTTGAGGCAGGAGAAACGCTTGAACCTGGAAGGCAGAGGTTGCAGTGAGCTGAGATCGCACCACTGCACTCCAGCCTGGGCGACAGAGCAAGACCCTGTCTCAAAATACAAAAATAAAAATTAAAAAAAAAAAAGAAAGAAAAAAGAAAAGGGAGTCAAAAAGAGTTCAACCCCTGGCCTTGCATCCTGGGTGTTTACCCCACTTGCCTGGTGGAGAACATGATGATGCTGATGATGATGATACAAATAACACAGCCAATCTCACTTTGCACATTCATGTGGACTGTAAGAATGACCGTGCAAACTGAAAGTGTACAAAAAGATCTCAATCACCAACAGGATAAAATAAGATTATTCTGTGACCTTTAACAATCTTCTGTCAAAACACTAAAACTCTCTTACTGTTGGCTATAAATGTTTAAGGAAATGAAAAACTAGGTAAAACTAACATCTCTTTCTTATACTTCAATTTAGAACATTAGAAACATTGAAAATATAACTGTAGGCTGGGAGCAGTGGCTCACGCCTGTAATCCCAACACTTTGGGAGGCCAAGGAGGGAGGATCACTTGAGCTCAGGAGTTTGAGACCAGCCTGGGCAGCATAGTGAAACCCTGTCTCTATAAAAACTAGCCAGGCATGGTGGTGCATGCCTGTAGTCCCAGCTACCAAGGAGGCTGAAGTGGGAGGACCACTTGAGCCCAGGAGGTTGAGGCTGCAGTCAGCTGTGATTGTGCCACTATACTCCAGCATAGGCGACAGGAGTGAGACCCTAAGAAAAAATATGTGTGTGTGTGTGTGTTGTATTTCTTTGTGTAAAAACTATCAAGAATAGCCTGAACCATGCTTGCCAGCTTCTTGTTTAACTAATGATACAGAGGGAGCATCTTGTTCTATGCCTTGGCGAATTGTCATATTTCTTTCTAAGATTGGATCAGTTTCCAAAATTGTATCCTTTGAACTTTCAGTGTTGTGAAATGTCCGCAGGAGTTCCTGCCAGCCTCACTTCCTCTGGATGGACTTCGTCCTTTTCCTCACAGTGACTTCCCTCATCTATTTCTTCTATAACCCTGGGATGGTGAATTTTATGTGTGAACTTGGGCAGGGCCATGGTATGCAGATCATTGGTGAAACATTATTCCAGATGTTTCCTGTGAAAGTATTTTTTAGATAAGATGAACACTTAAATCAGTAGAGTTTGAGTAAAGCAGATGGTCCTCTATAATGTGGTGGGTCTTATCCAATCAGTTGAAGGTCTTAATAGAAAAAGACTGACCTGCCCCGAAGAAGAAGGAATTCTGCCTCCAGATAACCACAATAGCAATTCTTCCTTGGCCCGGGTCCCCAATCTGCCAGCCTACCTTGCAGATTTTGGGCTTGCCAACCTCTGCAATGTGTGAGCCAATCAGTATATCTATCTATGGGTTTTATTTTGTTTTGTTTTGTTTTGGTTTGGTTTGGTTTTGAAATGGAGTCTCACTCTATCATCCAAGCTGGAGTGCAGTGGCATGATCTCAGTTCACTGCAACCTCTGCCTCCCGGGTTCACACAATTCTCCTGCCTGAGGTTCCCAACTAGCTAGGATTACAGGTGCCCGCTACCACGCCCAGCTAATTTTTGTATTTTTAGTAGAGACGAGGTTTCACCATGTTGGCCAGGCTGGTCTGGAACTCCTGACCTCAAGTGATCTGCCCACCTCGGCCTCCCAAAGTGCTGGGATTATAGGCGTGAGCCACCGCGCCCAGCCCGCACTTTCATCTTTGTTGGCTAATTCCTTCTTTTTACTATCCATTTATGTAAAATGTCAAGTGAGTTATCACCCAGAGAGAAGGAGGCAACACAGCTGCACGCTTAGCTGTGTGTGAACTGAATAACGACGTGCGGTGACCAGACACCAACAGGCTTTGAAAGAAGTGACGTGATTTTTGCTGATCATGATACGTGTCTATGCGTCTGTTATTTACATAGTGATTTGTGGACTGACCAGCTAACAGCAAAGTTTGCACTTGATGCAATTATTCACACTCGATATACTGTGGAAAATGAAATCTGAACCACGTTTTGGGGGACTCCTGTTATTTCTTAAACATCGTAACTGAAATTCATGCATATCCATACCAGGCAAAACCAAGGAATGCTGTAACTGTAAGTAATACCTAACATCTCAGGCCCCTGACTTTGTGCCAAGCATAAACCCAGATCCAAATCAAATCCTAATCCTAAACCTAACTTTAGGATCCACAGTTGTTGTTGTTGTTGTTGTTTTGTTGGAGTGCAGTGGCATGATCTTGGCTCACTGCAACCTCCGCCTCCCAAGTTCAAGTGAGTCTCCTGCCTCAGCCTCTCAAATAGCTGGGATCACAGGCGTGTGCCAACATGCCCAGTTAATTTTTATATTTTTAGTAGAGACAGTGTTTTGCCATGTTGGCCAGGCTGGTTCAAACTCCTGGACTCAAGTGATCCACCCACCTTGGCTTCCCAAAGTGCTGGGATTACAGGCGTGAGCCACTGCGTGCAGTAGGGATCGACCAATATTAAGTCATCTATAAATGTCACATGCTTAAAGCTGATCAGATGTGAGGCTAGAACTTCTGAATCAGCTCCTTGCTCACTCCTGGTGACTTTGCTTTCTGGCATGGGTTACCTGCCAGGGATTCATAGTTCAAGGATTTTATGTTTCATCCATTCTGACTTCTATATGATCTCTCAAACCCTCAAGGCTTGGAGTTTGCAGTACCTCTGCCTCCTGGTGAACTCTCCTCCATCCTTGATTGGAAACCCAGACATGACCATTCAGAGCCTTTCAGAGCCTCAGTTTCCCCTCTGTAAAATGGAGGATCAAGTCTTACCTCGTAAGGATCAAATGAGATAATAATACCTATAAAGTTCTTCATAACTGGCACATGGCAAGTACCCAACACATGTTAACTATAATCATTACTACCAAGCAGACGTTTCAATAATCACACAGAATAAGAATGGTTCACACTTCTGCTTTCCCAATAGACTGGGAGCTACTTAAAGAAAATGAACTTTTCAGTCTCTGGCCTCAGCTCCCAGTGCAGTGCCTGGCACAGAGTAGGTGCTCATTAAATGCTTATTAAATGAGTGAATTAAAGCCAAGAAGAGCTTTGCTCCCAGCCTGCCCATGTTGAATGTAGCTGCAGATAATAGCCAACAACATTTATTGAGAACTTGCATGTGCCAGGAACTAATGGTGCCAGGCTCTTTATGTGCATGATCTAGTTCACTATCCAAGCAGCCCTGTAAGATGGGTGTTATTATTATCCACATATTTCAGTTACAGAGGGGCAAGGCTGGGATGTCAACCCAGTCTGTTGGAGCATTCATCGGATGGCCTCTGCCCAGCAGAATCCCATGTGCCAGTGAGCAGAAGGGAGACCCGATGGGGTGAGGGAGGCAGTGTGTTTCTCCATTCTCACGTTGTTATAAAGAACTACCTGAGACTGGGTAATTTATAAAGAAAAGAGGTTTAATTGACTCAGAGTTCCCCAGGCTGTACAGAAGGCATGACTGGGGAAGCCTTGGGAAACTTACAATCATGGCAGAAGGGGAAGGGCAAGCAGGCACGTCTTACATGGCCAGAGAAGGAGGAAGAGAGTGAAGGGGAAGGTACTACACACTTTTAAACAACCAGATCTCATGAGAACTCACTCGCTATGGTGAGAGCAGCAAGGAGGAAATCCGCCCCCATGATTCAGTCATGTCCCACCAGGCCCCTCCTCTAACACTGGGGATTAAATTCGACAACAGATTTGGGCAGGGACACAAATCCAAACCATATCAGGCAGGGATGGGGAGCCCTTTACCAAGGGTGAGTCGTCATCTGCAGAGTGCAACCCTGCAGTGGTTGGAGACAAACACCAGGCTTTGGTGTTGCCCTCTCTTCAGGGGCTGGTTGCTGTGATACTGCACCTAACCCACCCTCACCACCTCCCAATGAGGCCCTTCCTGAGTATCTTCTCTCTGTCAAAACTTGTCCAGCCCAGGTTTCATCGCTCCGGGCTCCTGTGCCCTATTGCTGATCATGGGTGGGGCTGGGTTACTCAGCTCAACACTTCCCGGCTCTCTCTTGACCACCCAAGTCACTGCCGAAGTCATTAATTAGGGAACCAGACATGGCTATGGGACAGTGCTTCTGTTGCTATACTGAGCCGTTATTTAATTTCTTATCAGTCTTCAAGTTTTCACATGTGGGTTGTTTTGTAAGCTCTTCTTATACTGCCTGAAGCTACCTTCCTCCCCACCCCACTCCAGGCTGAATGCACAATAGATATTCAAGAAATTCTTGTTCGGTTTTACTGTTGTATTATCTCCCCTGAAATATCGAACACTTTTACCTCTAAAGGCAGAAGAAAGAGGAGATCCTGCCAAAGTGTGTTGGGGAGCCCAAGACCTACTGCCACGCACGCTATCCAACCCTCTCTTACCTCTTAACACTCAGGAGACCTCAGGGGAATACTAGGGAACCCAGTTTGAAAGCCTTGACCATTTCTTGATTGGCTGATTTGTCTGTTTCCTGTAAACTTCCTGAGAGCAGCTGAGATGAGCAAGAAAACACCAACAACTTGGAGTTTTCAGATGTGCTTTCCAGATGTGCTTTCTAGCCCTGCCAGTTGACATCTGCCTGGCCTCCCAATAAGCCCCTTAACCTCTCTGGGCCTGAGTTTCTTCCTCTGCAAAATGGGAATCATCATAAATACCTACCTCATAACATTATTGCAGTGATGAAATTAGCTGTATAAAAGCACCGTGTAAAGTATAAAGAAAACGTTTATAGATCTTTCCCCTAGAGCAGATTACATGCAATAGGCTCTGAATAGATGTGGTTGAGTTTAAGCTGACAAATTACATTTCCCAGGGACCTTTAGAAGCAGGTTGAATGGTGGAACTCCCAGGCACAATGATAGACCTAAGGGTGTGATATGTGACTCTGTGTCCCCACCCAAATCACATGTAGAATTGTAATTCCCATGTGTTGGAAGAGGGGCCTGGTGGGAAGTGATTCGATCATGAGGCAGACATCCCCCTTGCTGTTCTCATGATAGTGAGTGAGTTCTCCCGAGGTCTGATTGTTTAAAAGTGTTTAGCACTTCCCCCTTTGCTCTCTCTTCTGCCGCCATGTGAAGACATGCCTGCTTCCCCTTTACCCTTCCCCCATGATTGTAAGTTTCCTGAGGCCTCCATGCTTCCTGTATAGCCTGCAGAACTGAGAGTCAATTAAACCTCTTTTTTTCATAAATTACCCAATCTCAAGTAGTCTTTTATAGCAGTGTGAGAATAGACTGATACAAGGTGAGTCTGGGGGTAGGTGGACATTCTGTGTGGCCCTCAAATTATCTCAAGTGCATGGTTACTACTCTGTTTAATATCAGACTAGTTCTGTTTCCAGTAATTCTTTGGGTCTGGGCAGCAGTACTTCTCTAAGAAAGAGAAAGAGGAAGTATTGACTTCTTAGACAGCATCACCCACCTTCCTTCCCAGGCCCCTCTCCCCAAGCTTCCTCATCTATCTGGCATGTGCTGGGTAGAACCAGCTTTCTGAGGCCCCAGGAAAAGAAAATCAGGCTCCAATGTACACAATTTTAGCTGCGTGGGAGTCACCAACTTACATTTAGCTGATCTTTCCAAACATGTTTCCTGTGAAAAGTATTAACTGAGCATTTACTATGTGCTAAGAATTTTATGTGTTCATTCATCCTCATGACAAACCCACAAGATAAGGACCATTGCTTGTTTCTGTTTATGTTTCTTGAGACAATCTCGCTCTGTTGCCCAGGCTGGAGTGCAGTGGTGCCATCTCTGCTCACTGTAACCTTTGCCTCCTGGGTTCAAGCCATTCTCCAGTCTCAGCCTCCCGAGTAGCTGGGACTACAGGTGCCCACCACCACACCCAGCTGATTTTTGTATTTTTAGTAGAGATGGGGTTTCACTATGTTAGTCAGGCTGGTCTCAAACTCCTGACCTCGAGTGATCCACCCACCTTGGCTTCCCAAAGTGTTGGGATTACAAGCATGAGCCACCATGCCCAGCCAATAGGACCATTGTTAACCCCATTTTACAGATAGAAAACAGGCTTAACAATGAAAGGAACCAGGAAGGACTCAGTCAGGATCTTGGGTCAAACCTGATGGGCTCCGACACTCTTGTGCCACAACTAGTCACCACCCTGCACTGCCCTTAATACTTAAGCCTCCCTTGAGACCAGCACACACTCGTGGTGTCACTGTCATGGCCTGGAACCATGCTCTTACTTCTCAGTAAAAGCTTTTCATAAAAAGAGACAAAACAGCTATTATAGCCCTAGCCTCTGACCTTGTTCCTGAGGAGCTTCAAGTCCTGCTTGTGGTGTATTCCAGCTGGGTTTCCCCTGATCCTATGAAGAGCATTGGGTCCCACTCATCAATTTAGCATTCAGTAAATAATGATGGGTCACCCAGGCTGTGCAGCACACTGGACAGAGCACTGGGAGCATACACATAGTTCCTGCCTGCAAGACCTCAACATCGGGGAGACAGAAAAGGAAAACCTTTGGAACCCAGGTCCTCTGCTGTCTCGTGGGGTGAGAGACCCACAAATTCTCATTCTAAAGTAGACCCATAGAATTCCAAAGGTTGGCAACCTGTCCTTCCCTGCCATATTAGTTACACGTTACTATATATATTCCCACAGGCTTCAAGGCTTAAAACAATACACACTTACTATTTCACAGTTTCTGTGGATCAGGAGTTCAGGCATGGTTTATCTTGGTTCTCTGCTTACGGTTTCTTATGAGGCTGCACTTAAGAAGCTGGCTGGGGCTGTGGTCTCATCT